>NC_000010.11:84688549-84840064 GCF_000001405.40 Homo sapiens | reverse complement strand
GCAATACCTCTGTAGAGACTCCTGCCCACTTATAGGCAGTACCTCCACCACCCCAAATACTCAGAGATCCTTCAGTGTGCCCTAAGGAACTTCATTATGAACACATACAGACTGGTTTAAGCAAAACACTTCCCATGGATCATCTAGCCAGTCCTCACTGTAAACTTTCAAGCAAGGTCACATGTTGGTTAGTATAGAAATTGGGACTCTAACCCAGCCAGTCTTATGATAAAGCCACACTTGTAAATTTCATCTTATACTGCATAGTTTAGGGGAGAAAAAAAAATACAGTAACTGTAAAGTTACAATTAAAATAATTTTTAAAATAGCAAAACTTATGGGATCCTGGTACAGCAAACCTTATTTGTGAAATTAAAGCATTAGATGATGCTATACAATTAAAAAAAATCAAAAATGATGATTCTAAGCATTCCACTTAAAAATAATGGGAAAAAGGGAAAAATAACACAGAATAACATAAACAAAAGTAAACATAAACGAAAAGCAAGAGAAGAAATCACAATGGGGTACAATCTGCTCTGCGCTGCTCAGCCTTGGAACCCTAAAGTCTCTTTGGAGTTTTCTTCAATATAGGAACCTAACTGCCAAGAAAGGGACAGTGGGAGCTGCCTGGGTTTGCGGCATGAAGGTCTGACAGTCACCGGGTGGAGAGGTGGAGGCTGGCGAGGATGCAGGACTCTGCCAATCCCAGAGTCTGCACAGAGGAGCAGCATGAGACATGAGTAGCAGGCAATCATTTTTCTCAGCTCTAACAAAATATAGAGAAATAAAGACCCCAAATCAGATTTTCAGTCAAGTTTCTGAGTTGTAGGCAGTGGGAAGCTTTTTCTGGGATTTATTAAAAAATTATCTACTCTTTGGAAAGGCAGGGGCAACAGGCACTAGGTGAAACTTTCAGGATTATCACCCCAAACCACAGTGGTTCTGGTACATAAGTTGCTGTTTCAGGAACCCACAACCATGTTGCCTCTGACCACAGTCCCACCACGAAGTGGGTGCACCAGAGCCTGCCTGGCCTCCCAGATGGCTAGCATCTAACTGGTAGAATCTAAGTTATACACTTGCACCCCGGCAGCAAGGAAGGCTGGGACGGCAGGGGTTTGGTGGTGGTGGCGGCAGCGGTGGTGGTTTAAGACTCTTGTGTTGGAAACGCAGGATTTACAAAACAGGTAATTGTCAAACAGTGAAGGGAGTACAAAAGATTTAGTGCATCATGAATAACCAATGTCAATGTCTGTGGCTGTGAGCAAGTCGCCTCAGTCTCCTCTCCCATAAAAAGAAGTATGGAATCATAATTTCTTTTAGGTGATGTGAGAATTAAATTTTAAAAATGTATGCACATCACAGAGGCTGGCACATAATCCCCACTAAGCATCAATTCACAAAGATACGTGCCTAAATATGTAGGTAAGACTGTTTGCCACATCCTAAATATGTCCCCATCACAAAGACACTGAATTTGAAAATGTGGATTCATATCCCCTCCTGGTGCAGGACCAAATAATTACCAAAATATTTGCAATATGTCTGGCTCAAAAATCAAAATATGCAACTAGTGGCTCAAGAAAACACCCAGAGTCAAGTGAGAAGCTAAATATCTTCTTTGAAGAGCAAGAAGACAGTGTGCTGAGAAGATGTTCCATTGTTAGCTAATGTCTGGTAAAGCCACCAGAACCGGCACTGTGACAACAATGACAAAGATCCAAGCAGTCAGCCTGTGCTCAGACTGTCTATGTCTGCCAAGCGTATAGACACATTTTTAACGTTATTACATTTTTGTGGCACACCAATCATATGCGGTGGGCGTTATGGTTCCTCCTTTGACAGATAAAAAGAGAAACACTAAACAGAGGCTTATCACATTTGAAGAACACCCAAATGAATCCGTTTGAGTCGTGCTGTGGTCAACCTGCCCCCAAGCCTGGCGCCTTCTATGCCCGAAGCCTTCCAGTCCTGGGCTTCTGGCCAAGCCCATGCCTTTCTGTAGTTGGACTGTCCCTTCCTTCACCTTGTCCGCATTCTACCCGTGACTTAGCAGGGCCCATGTGCCAGCCCGCTCCTTCAGCTCCCACTCTTCAAAACCCCACTGTCATTATTCATTTTTCTGTTTTTCATTGTTGGTGTGAGCATGATACAGTGAGCCTGTCCCTTCCTCGAAGGTGATCTCAGTCATCCTTTTCTGAGTTCTGTCAGGGTGCCACCTTTGTCCTGGACCCAGGGACGCCCATAGCTGCGAGCTAACAATAAAAAAAAAAATGGATGGATTAAAACATAAAAGGGGTAAAATCCTCAGGTGTCCTCCCAATTCCAGGGCATCTGCATGTAAAACAGTTAAGGACACTGAGTGGAACCTGTTGGTGCAGTTCCAGGTTCAATCACTCCCCCACCAGGCGAATGTTCAGTGCTTATTCTCCTGATTTCCAGCTTATTAGGGCTGCTGTGATAGCAGTCTGTGCTTCAGATCATTAGCTACTTGCTCTTTAAATGGAATCTGTTAGCTAAATATAACCAGGAGCCTTTGGTAGTTTGCACTAATTGTGTTGAGTTGCTTTGTTAAGGCAAATAACAGAAGAAACTATCAGTGTATAAATATGAAAGCCATCATTTGCCTGCTTTCCCCAGACAGTAAGTGCTTTGGGTATTGTTTAACAGCCTTATTCAGCTGAGAGATAAATGGGATAATTGATCAGGGGGTCCTGCTCCAGTGAGAAGCCCACAGCTGGGCAGCATTCAATCGCACCCTCCCCTCCTGCTGAGCAATGAGGACCTGGGCTTCCTCAGTGCACACATTTCAAGTTGGGAATCCAGCCACATGCTTCTCCTGGGTGAGGTCATGCAGTAGGAGACTGGTCTGACTGTCACAGCTCTACCCTGTGTTGGGACAGCCCAGATCCTATAGAAAAGGAAAGGGACATATTCCCTCAGCTCTCAGCTCTTCTGTGAAGGGAAACAATTGAAGAACTGCCTGGGTGGGAGAGCTTTCTCTTAGTTGGACCAGTGGTTTTCTAACCTCTTTTGAGCCATAGAATCATGGGGTGTCATGAACTCATAAATCAAAGAACAAAATGTAAAGAGAGAAACTATACAGTGTGAGGTGTGGGTGCCACATCAATCTATAGGTCTTCTCCACTTTGTCACTCAGTAGACTCCACAGGGCAACCAGTTTAAAAACAGCATTTCATCCAATAGTTTGTGTGAAAAGAGACAAGTTGATTCAAGCTTTTCCCAAAACTACACAGAGGTCAAAAACTAGTGACACTACACAGCCCATCAGATATTTTGTTGGCCAGTTTATTTCACTGGCCTCATATTTCAAACATACACAGTGTCTCAGAAAGCAATGTATTAGGTTGGCACACAGGTAACTAAGGTTTTTGCCATTACCTCAATTACTTGTGCACCAACCTAATAATTAGCTGGTTTATGATCAGTTGCAATGGAATCAGCTTAATCTTGTACTACTGATTTGCATTGTACCTGTTTAGATCAATTACATTTTCTGTCTGTCCCTGAACCCTGTGAGAATAAGAACAGCCCCTATATCTCTCTCAGAGCCTCCTCTCCATCCAACTTACAAAACTCTCTCTTGATTTCTGGAACCTCTATATTTCTTGTGAACTCACCCTGCTTCAGTTTGGCCCACAATTGCTGAATAACTCCTCTTTTCCAAATCTGCCATAGATATAAGGATATAAGAGATACTAAGGCACTGTGAGAATTTTTTCTTTTTTTTTTTTGAGATGGAGTCTTGCTCTGTCACCCAGGCTGGAGTGCAGTGGCACGATCTCCTCTCACTGCAACCTCCACCTCCTGGGTTCAAGAGATTCTCCCACATCAGCCTCCCAAGTAGTAGTGATTACAGGCATGTGCCATTACGCCCAGCTAATTTTTTGTATTTTTAGTAGAGACTGAGTTCACCATGTTGGCCAAGTTGGTCTCGAACTTCTGACCTCAAGTGGTCTGCTCACCTCAGTCTCCCAAAGTGCTGGGATTATAGGCATGAGCCACCTTGCCCGGCCCTCTGAGAGGATTTGAAGAGTGGTTTTACACAGGGAGAAAGATGAGTGAAAAAGCCACATCCTATGTCCCACCAGAGACCAACATTGTACCTAGTTCTAAAGCAGATTGTGCACCTTCCCGAGCACTTCATTCTCAGTAGATGATAACAACAAATTAAAATTACTGTTGTTTTTTTACCAGACTTGACATGGTTTGTCATTATGTAAAAAAAAACTGTATTTTTTAGAGATACATACCAAAGAAAATAGGGGTGAAGTGATATGGAATTTACTTTAAAATATTCAGCCACAGAAAAAAATATCAGGGGATAGATTAAGAAAATGTGGGCAAATCTTGGTGATGGATAGGGAGGGGTTCTTTTTTTAATTTTTTAATTTCTTTTTAAATTTAAATTTTAAAATCTTTTTTCAACTACTACATGTGTATACATCAACAATTCTTGGAAAGGTTAATCTCACTTTTAGAGGTGAAATGATCTGAAATGCACATGGACAAAATACTTTGTGAAATGCTTGTGAACATTTGTGCATCTGAAAGCTCAGATGGTTTTGAGGTGGATTTCAGACCAGGCAATCAGTGTGTGATGAAGACACCAATGTGATAAAGTGACATTTCTCTAAAGCTCTTCTGCCCAACATCAGGCTACTGACAAGCTCCAAGCAAGATGTGGTCCCAATGTCATGTACAGTTAAGAAACAGCTACACACATGGGGTCCCTGCTCAGCAAGTCAGCACGTACATTAGCACTTTAAAGTCTCTCTTGAATCCTACAAGGAAAAAAGGAAAACATCCTATTATCTTATCCTGTTAGATTGGAAGAATAGGGAGAGATCCAAGCATGAGAAAGGGAAGAGAACTGACATCAATCCATCCTGAAGGGTCTCCTATATATTACCAGACATTGTGCTAAGTGACTTTCCCGATATCTACAATAGGTCCTCATATTATGCAGTCTCACAGCACTCTGTACTTCCCCAACTGTAACATGCATGCTCCACTGTGGCTCCTGGTTCAATAATTTATCTTTCCTGTCATACTGTGAATTCTGCATGGGAAAGTCTGTATCATCACTTACTCATCTCTGATACCTACCACCTGTATCCCTTTCACTTAATAAGATTCTTAGCAAATTGTGGATAAATATTTGTCATGTAAATAGATGTGCTAGCTCATGTAATCATCAGAACACTCCTAAGAGTTATAATTCTCCCAATTTTACATATGAGGCCATGAGACAAATGGAAAGAAAATAATTTTTCCCACTTTTTAAAACTCAAAAGTGACATATTTGGCATTCAAAATTAATTTTGTTGACTCAAAGTTCTTGCATACCTTCAGTAATGAAGATTGTGAAATAAAAATTGCAGCAATTCTAAAGAATAGAGTTTAGAAACGGAAATATAAGAAATTTACAGTGGAAAAACTTGCAGACACTATCCTATCCAAAATAGAACATGTTGACATCATGTAATATCCTTTGATGTGATGTGATGAGAAGGGCACATCGCCTCTGTGGTTTTCTTCCTCCAGATCCACACTTCACTCTAATCACGAGAAAACATCAGACAAACCTAAACTGATATATATTCTACAAAACACCTGACAAGTATTCTTCAAAAGAATCAAGGTCATAAAAGCAAAAGACTGAGAAGCTCTTAGTAATTGCATAGACTAAGGAGACATAACAATTGAATACAATGCAGTATCCTTGATGGATCACAGAGCAGAGAAAGAATGTTTAGTGGGAAAACTGGGGAATCTGAAAAAAGTTTAAGTTTAGTTAACAATATTACACCAATGTTAATTTCTTAATTTTAATAATTGTACCATGTTTTTGTAAGATTTTAACATTAGGGAAAGCTGAGTGAAGGGTATTATATTAGCTCCCTATTAGTGCTGTAACAAATTAACACAAATTGCTTAAACAATAAAAATGTATCTTACAGTTCTGGAGACCAGGAAATATCACTTGGCTAAAATCAAGATGTTGGCAGGTGTCTTAGACCTCTTTGTGCTGGTATAACAAAATCCCTGAGGCTGAGTAATTTATGGAGAACAGATTGCTTTCTTACAGTTCTGGAGGCTGGGAAATCTAAGGTTGAGGAGCCCACAACTGGTAAGGGCCTTCTTGCTGCATCATCCCATAGTGAAAGGCAGAAGGGTAAGAGAGCAGCAGCAGGAAAGAGAGAGAGGAAGGGGGTCAAAGTCATCCTTTTATCAGGAACCCACTCCCACAGTAACACCATTAATCCATTCATGAGGGTAGAGCCCTCATGACCTAATCACCTCATAAAGGTCCCACCTCTCAACATGGTTGCATTTGGGATTAAGCTTCCAACACATGAACTTTGGGGGACACATTCAAACCATAGTATTACATCCCTGGCCCCCAAAATTTATATCTTTCTTACATGCAAGATACATTTATTCCATCCCAATAACGGCAAAGTCTTAACTCATTTCAGCACCAACTCAAAACTCTGAAGTCCAGTCTCATCTAAATCAGATATGGATGAAACTCAGGTGAGATTTATCCTGAGGCAAATATCTCTCCAGATGTGAGCTTGTGAAATTAACAAGTTATGTGCTTCCAAAATCCAGTGGTGGGACTGGAATAGGATAGGCATTCTCATTCCAAAAGCGAGAAATAGGCAAGAAGAAAGGGGTAACTGGTCCTACGTGAGTCCAAAACCCAACAAAGAAAACAACATTAAGTCCTAAAGCTGGAGGATAATATCCTTTGACTCTATGTCCCACTTTCTGGACACACTGGGGCAGGGCTGGACTCTCAAGGTTTCAGGCCTCACCCCTATGGCTTTGCTCACAGGTTGAAGTCACAGGATGAAGTCGCAGGCCTGCAGCTTTCTCAGGCTAAAGTTGTACGCTTTTTAATTCTTTAAATGACCAGACTAAGAGTTTTCCAAATCTTTTCATTCTGCTTCCATTTTAATTTTAAATTCTATCTTTAAATAATTTTTCTCTTCCCTCATTTTACTATTAACAGCCAGAAGAC
This sequence comes from Homo sapiens, assembly GCF_000001405.40. Lineage (NCBI taxonomy): Eukaryota > Metazoa > Chordata > Mammalia > Primates > Hominidae > Homo > Homo sapiens. The sequence goes on along the minus strand of NC_000010.11, from coordinate 84,833,010 downwards.
GTCACGCAGAACCTTGAATGCTTTGCTACTTAGATATTTGTTCTGGAAGATATGCTAGATTACTGCTCTTACATTTGGCCTTTCATAAAGTCCTAGGACATGGACACAACTCCACCAAGTTCTTTGCAACTTGATAACAATGATGGTCTTTACTCTAGTTTCCAATGCTGTGTCCACAGGTACACAGGAACTCTCAATATTATCTTTGCAACTTTTCTATAAATCTAGAATTATTCTGAAATAAAATGTTAAAAATAAGAAATTAATAACTGTATGTTAACCTATAATAGACACACATTGCATTAAAATCACAGATCCATAGATTCTCAAAGTTGAAAGAGAACTTAAGGACATTACACTTATTGATCAAATTTTAGAGGCCTTTATGAGTTATAATCTGTGACATACTAGATAAGTTTGTCTGAAAATGATACCTGGAGATCTTTTTGAAAAATGTTTGACATTGAGCTAGCTGAGACCAAGATCCCCTCCAGCACACCAGTGGTAGGTGCTTAGTCTGAATCCAATTGTCCATCTCTTCTCAGTACTAAGACCTACAGTTTTCCACAGGCTCCCAGTGTCTCCAGAATTTTTTTTTCCCCCAAGACGGAGTCTCGCGCTGTCCCCCAGGCTGGAGTGCAGTGGTGCGATCTCGGCTCACTGCGAGCTCCATCTCCTGGGCTCACGCCATTCTCCTGCGTCAGCCTCCCGAGAAGCTGGGACTACAGGCACCCGCCACCATGGCCGGCTAATTTTTTTTTGTATTTTCAGTAGAGACGGGGTTTCACCGTGTTAGCCAGGATGGTCTGCATCTCCTGACCTCGTGATCCACCCGCCTCAGCCTCCCAAAGTGCTGGGATTACAGGCATGAGCCACTGCGCCCGGCCTGTCTCCAGATTTATATCCCAACACTCCCCTAAACAAATGGTATCTAATCTCAGATTATGTGACACTAGTACCCAAACATCTTGTTCCTGTAGTAACAAGGCTACTATCAAAGCTCATTAAAAGTGTTAGCAACAAGAAGGTGGTGACTCTGTTGAAGCCTCCCCTGCAGCCAAGATGTAGCCTGAATGCTGTGGGCAGAGTGTGTCTGGCTGCAGGAGGTAGAGATTAGGGACAAAGAACCTTATATTGCTGATCTTTATCTTATAACCTTCTCTAGTAATATCTTTTTCTTAACTAATACACTATGACCTTGTAACATTTACTCTCACCCACTTCATCCCATAAACATCATGAGAAAGGCACTATGGAGAAAAGTTGTATTTGTTCACTACGTAAATCACGCATTCATTTGCTAACAATGAAGAAAAAATGACTCAGTAGTTATATTTATGTTTCTTTTAGACTCAAGCACCATTTGAAGACTATCCCTTGCTGAAGGCTTTAAAAAGGGCACTTGGGGGTGTCTTGCAATCTAGGATGAATTAAACTCCAATGAAAATGACAGATTCAGGAAATTCATGTGTAACCTTTCTCGCCGAAGGGTGTTCTTTTTATGAACTGTACCTGGACAAAATGAACTGAATGTTTTCTTGGCAAAATGCTGGGACTGGATAAATGGCTTTGCAGTGAAGAATAAGTAAATAGAAAAAGGCAAGGAGGGAGGTGAGGTAGGGGAGGGGGCATAAAGGCCTAGGCAGACTTTGTAAATCATAAGAGAATTCAAGAAAAAGCAACTCTCTAAAAATAATACTCGATGAGTAGGAAAAGCTTTTAAATTATCTGGTGTACGTTCCCAATAGAACCCCAAATATATGGTTTTTAAGAAATGATCACAAGTTTCCGTAAAGAGAAGCATGAGAATCTACCTTTTCACAAGAGATTTGTTAGTATAATGAAACAAGAAGAATGCCTGAATAATTTTTGGGTCATTGAAGACAATTTCTTAATGCCCCAAAAATTATTTTTAAAATTTCAAGAATATAGACAACTAGCTAAAAATTGGATTGACAGAGAAATCAAAGAAGTGAAAATAGTTCAAAACAACAGAGATGAACAAAATTTGTTCCAAGATAACCCAGGGGAAGCTCAAAGCTCAAGATTAAACAAAAATACACACACACACACACACACACACACACACACACACACAGCCAGAGTAGGCCAAGGTGCCATCAAGATGACTGATTTAAAACATGGATCTGGCTCAGCTGCAGAGACCATTCTCTCCCAATAAACCCTTAAAACCACAGAGCCTCTGGAAGCAGAGGCCTTTGACCTCAGGCCAAAACCAAAGAAGAACTCTCTTTAAAAAGGTAGTTTAGGTAGTTTAGTGAGCCGAGATCGCACCACTGCACTCCAGCCTGGCGATAGAGTGAGACTCTGTCTCAAAAAAAAAAAAAAAAAAAAAGAGGTAGTTTATGTGCTGCAGACACCTCCTAATACAAGGGTGGTATATTAGAAAAAGAAGGTGAGCAGAGGGAACCCACCCCAGAGCTCTTCAGGAGACTTTGAGAAGAGAGAGAAAAAAGGAAAAGCCTCAGAACAGCTACAGTGAAGGAAGTTCACCTCCCAAGCAAAGCCCATTTTATTATTTTGCCAGTTGAGGGGGTGTATCCAGCCTGCCAGCCTGCTCTACTCCCACAGACCCAACAAGGTAGCCAGCCTATGCAACGGCCTCTCCTGCTTGTACAGAAGCTGTGGTCGGTGCTTCCATTTAAAAAACAAAAAACAAATAAACAAAAAAAAAAGATGCTTGCCAGAAAAACAGATCCACCTTTTCTCATAAATAGTAACATCTGGGCTGTGTGGTAATACAAATTAAGGAGGTAAGGATGATGAGGGAATATTAGTTTCAGAGAGGTGGTAAGATTTGGGGAAATAGGTGGAGGAAATCCAAATTCTATTTTAGACACTTTAATGTGGGTATGAGACAACACCAAACATCAACTGTGAAGAAAATGCAACTGTTTGAAGCTCTTCTCTCAAAATCAAAATCTTTCAGATTAAGTTGCAAACCAAATATAGACATATGCTGTTTTTATAAGACACAGCCAAAACCAAATGACACCAAAACATTAAAATAAAAAGGTTACTCAAAGTTACAGCTGCTGTCCACAAATAAAAGTAATCCAGGGGTGGCCATTTTAGTAACAAACTAGAATCCAAGGCAAAATGCATTAAATAGAGAGAAAGTTACTTTACATAGATAAAAAGTATAGCCCATAATGAAGACCTAACAATCATCATCCTCTGGAAATGAATTACATAGCATCAAAGTGCAGGGCACAAACCATTTAGCAGGCAGGAGAAAACTGGCAGCAATTACTACAGTAGAAGGCTCTTAGTGCTATGAATTATCAAAGGTAGATTATGTAGGCCAAAAATAAATGAAGAAGAAAGTCAATAAACAAGCAAACAAATAAATAAGAACGTGGAGGTTTTAAACAATATAATGAATATGTGCAGAACATTTTTATGGCATGCACTTTGGATATTAATCTTAACCCAGCTCCTTCTCTTTTCTTTTATCCTCTTTACCCCCTACCCTCTTTCTCTTTCACTTCTAGTTTTCTCACTTAACTTTTTTTGCTTCTCTTACTTAACTAGAGCGTGTAGATATGTATTCAAGTCACCTCACGTCCCTTTAGGATATTGGAGGGTATAAATAAATAATCGAGTAAGTCAGAAAAAATGTCCTGAGGTTATACAGGAAGTCGTTCTCACTGCAGGAGGTGTGAGCTGCAGACCCCCAGGAGCGCCTTTGTCCTTGCTGGAGGCAGAGCCCGGAGCCTTTGGGTGATAGTTTTAGAATTTGTCTGTGAGCCCATTATTTCTATTCAAGAGGCACAGCCTGCCTTGGCCGCTGATGGAACTTCACAGCTCATCAGCCTTTGACTCTGGCATGAAGGTGGAGTAGTTTGTTAATATTTTAGAATTTATTTCCTTTTTTCCTCCGATTTTTAAATTTTGTATGTATTTTATAAGAATTCTGGACAGTTCTTCTCAATCTAACATCTTCACAAATGAGACCTGGGAAGGTTTATTTGGGGAGTTTTGAAGTGACACAACTGGAAAATTTGAGGGAACAGTTCACAAGGCCACCCTCACTTCTGACACCAGTTGCTAGTTGGAGGGGTTCTCAAAACAACTCTTAGGTTTGATAATTTACCAGAAGAACTTAGAGAACTCACTGAAAGTTATTATAGTCATAGTTATGGTTTATTACAGAAAAAGGATACAAACAATCAGCCAAGGGATGAGGCACATAGGGGAGAGTCCAGGGTAAGTTCCAAACCCAGAGCTTCCAGTTGTCCTCCACCTGCAGTGCCAGGATGCTGTTACTCTCCGAGCAATCCGGTGCAGCAATACTCTTGGAGTATCATCAACCAGGGAGGCTCACTTGAGCTCCAGGGTTCAGGGTTTCTACTGGGGCTCCATCATGCAGACTTGATGATTGATTGCCTACATGGTTGACCTCAGCCTCCTGTCCCCCTCCAGAGATTGACTGATACTGCATGACCCAAAGCCCTCACACATCACATTGTTGGTCTTTCTAACATGGTCAGTTCCCACCCTAAATCATATTGTTAGACTCTCTGGCAAAACCCAAGGCCCCCAGGTAAACAAAGAAACTCCTATCAGTCATAACATTCCAAGGGCTTAGAGTTCACCTCCCAGAAACCAATGACAAATGCCTGACTTCTTTTTGGGTAAAGTTAAATTCTTTACTACACAGAGGTGCTGGGCCTTAGGCTCATTAAGGAGAGGTGAAAGAGATCAGAGCCAGATGGTAATAAAGTGAATATTAATAGAACTAGCTGTCTTACTAAGCTCTTCTGGGTGTCAGGCACTGTGCTACCCCCTTAATGAACTACCACACTGAGGAGTTGAACCCCCAGTGGAAAAGGTAGAGATGGGAGCCAGGAGGCCATGTGGTCAGCGTATGATTGTGCTGAAAATTGACTCCTCCTTCTGTTGCCTCCAATTTTAAGGAAGGCGGACTGAAAGTGATGAAAAGCATGGGTCAGCCTCAAAATTCCACTACAGGTCACTTTGGGAAGCTGCTACTAGAATGAAAATCCACAAAGGCAGGTAGATTTTTTTTGTTCATCACTGTATCTTCAGCACTGAGTAGTTGAATAAATGAAATATCTACAATAAACCTCATTCCCTAGTATTAAAAACAGTAGAAAATGCATCCACCTCCTAGGGATGTTGTAAGGATTAAAAAGCTGATGCAACAAGGCCACTGGTTCCTAGTAAGTGCTCAGTAAATATAGTAATTACTGTCAATGCCATTTATCATTATTATTATTATTATTATTCTCAAGCTTAGCAGGACAGCAGGCTTAGACACTGACAGAGGGCCCGTTCAAAAATGAAACATATACCTGATCAGAATGGGTCCATCTTCATGCCCCTCAGGGCCTGCACTTGAAAGTTTTGGCAGGGCCCTGGCAAGGTGCTCCAGGAATGCAGAGGACAAATCATCCCACACACAGCACAGACTTTGTTCCTCCTTTGTAAACTGTGCTTCATGCAACTCCTATTTGTTTTCTCTTTCATTCATTTTTGCTAACATCTTAATGCTTCCTCCCATTTTACCTTGATTTATCTTGTTGTTCTTCTTTGAATGTTAGATGCATAATAAGTTTATTGTTAGCTTCACTTTTAAAATAATCTAGATGTTGGAGGCTATAAAATTTCCTCAAAGTATAGCCTTAGAAATCTACTACAGTTTTGATCATGATATGTTATCATTGCTTTCTAGCTTAACTGCATATTTTATTTCCCATCTGATACTGTGATTGACTGGATTAATTTTTTGAACTAAACATTCATATTTCCTGATGAGAATGCATTTGAAAGTATTGATGGAGCTGGATTCCTGATATAAAATGTAAGTCTTATGAAATCTAAATATCTGAAATTAAATTTAAGAAAAATGGGGCTTGCAACATTCAGAAGCACAGCCTCTGGGTTTGAAGTCTGAAAAGCCCATGTAACAAGGTTGGCAAATACTTTGTGTGGGTCCCTCCCCCCATCCCTTTCTTTGACAGCACAGACACCAGGCTCAGCGGCTCTTTTTAGAGAGCCCCTGCATTATGTGCAACCTTCCCCACCACAGGCATTCAGGGATCTCTCAGCTCACTGTGGTGCATCTGTTAGTATTTACAGTTTGCCACCGGCTGTGAGAGCCAGACAGACACCAGAGAGCCACTCTGCTAAACCTGAAGAGCATTCTTATCTTATGACTTTGTCACTGTAAGTTTTCATTTTTAAAGTGCAAGAATGTTAAAACTTTATTGTTACTTATTTTTTAAAAAAATGTTTAGGAGCGATTCCACTGACCTACCTTCTCTATGATGATATTTCATTTCTGGGTTCATTGTAAAACAAGTTATTTCCTTTTTCTGCAAGCCTTAACTGTGCACCAAACCAACCCTACGTGGGCATTGACTGACTGTATTGGAGGAAAGAGCAGCATTGCAGGTACAAGGCCACTCAGGAATCAGGCCCCATGAAATCGGCACAGCTCATCTTGCTTGGCAAGATCTTCTAATTTCCAAAGCACAGAGACCTAGGAGTGGAACCATGAAATGATTCCATCATTGCCTCACACTGAGAATGTCCCTCACCTCCACAGCTCCCCTGTTTACTCACTGTGTGAACTTGAGTAAGTCATTTAACTTCTCCAGTTCCCAGTCACCTCATCTGTGAACTAGGGAAAATACTAATCCCACTGAATTGCTGGGACAATCAAGTGGGAAATGGATGTAAACACTCAGCACAGTATATGGCATATGGTAAGCAATAAACGTGAGCTTTAATTTTTGTTGTTATTGTGTTGGTGATGGCTAGACTCAGATGAGGTTTCTAGACACTCTTCAATGCTTTCTCAGATACTGAGTATTGGGAACAGTCCTGACAAACAATGTAATAGAAAAAAATGGGAAGCCTCAGGTGTGCCTGCCAGGTAAAGAAAAGGAAAAACAAAGGCACCCTATATTTCTCTCTCTAAATATATACATATTATGTATATATAATATTATACATATTATGTATATATAATATTATACATATTATATATAAAACCCACAATAACATAATTATAATTTAACCATGTATTAATATATAAGATATGAAAGCTAACATATATATGTAGATATCTGTAATTATAATAAAACTAAAAATTAATATATTATGAATATATATGTAAATATAAATATGTTATGTATTGATCCTTTCCTTGGCCTGACCTCTTTGGGGTCCCAGAACTTAAGGTATCCAATGTTGCTACTCTGGCTTTTACTTTGTAAGCTTTATATCTATGTGATTATCTGACTGTGCAACTAAGGATAATTTCTGTGTTCTTTAAGCTGGTATCATGTGTAAGGCTCTGGCAGGCTGGGAGTTAATGTAGATGACATCTGTTCACCTTGTGTCTGTTCTTATGGGCACCAAGCTCTGTTTCTGACCATCAGATCCCATACTTCTGTGGGTGACAGGCGAGGGCCCCTGCTGCAGCACCAGCTCCCTGCCAGACAAGGCTGCTTCTGTAAGCTGGTGACTCACAGACACATTCCATTCCCAAAGTGTATTTTGACCTCAGAATGTACTTGAAGAATGTTTTATTCATTTGCCAACATAAAAATCAGATTTCACAAAATTAGTAAAGCTTGTTGTTGTGATTGTGGTGGTGTTGATTATTTAATGTAAAATACAAAATTTAAGAAAATAGGTTTGGGTGTATAAATGTATATGACCCTTTCAGAAAACAACTTGGTTAAATACACACACACACACACACACACACATATACTGTCCTCTTGTTATATCAAGAATACTCAGTGAAAGACAACAAAGTTGTGATTATGTAAGATGAGTAAGTCTAGAGATCTGATGTACACCACGAGGAATATAGTTAATAATGCAATATTGTATACTGGAAATTTGCTACAAGAGTAGATGTCAGGTGCTATCACTACACACACACAAACACACACACACACACAGAGACACACACAAGGTAATCATGGAAGAAAATAGATATATTAATTAGCTTGAATGTAGTGATCACTTCACTATGCATATGTACTGTATATATATATATGTATGTTCAGTATGTATATATGATATATGTCATATCAAACATCATGTTGTACACCTTAAATATATAGAATTTTTATTGAGAAGAAGAGAAAGAAGGGAGGAAAGAAAGAAAAGAGAGGAAGAAAGAAAGGAAGGAAGGAGGGAGGGAGGGAGGGAAGAAAGAGAGAGAAAGAGAAAGAAAGAAAGAGAAAGGAAGGAAGCAGGAGGGGAGGAGAAAGGAAGGGAGGAAAGAGAAAGGAAGGAAGGAAAGAGAGAAAAGGGAAAGAAAAGAAAGAGTAGTAAGTATATTTACATACTTAAACATAGTATTTGTACTTTTAGCACTCCATCTTCAGGAAATATTTTTAAATACAGCGAAGTATTTATTTGCAGAGATATTTATTTTACTCTTATTTATTTATGAAAATGAATGTTGAAAATCCCTAAATGTTCAACAATAAGAGAATTACTAAGTAATTGATATTATTCCCATCTGCTGGACTATTATGTAGCCATTAAAGTTGTTCATAAAGAATTCATAATAACACATAATGTGAAATAAAACACAGGTAAAAAAATCATAATTAGAGCCGGCACGGTCGCTCACGCCTGTAATCCCAACACTTTGGGAGACCAAGGCAGGTGGATCACGAGATCAGGAGATCGAGACCAGCCTGGCTAACATGGTGAAACCCTGTCTCTACTAAAAATACAAAAAAAAATAGCCCAGTGTGGTGGCATGAGCCTGTAGTCTCAGCTACTCAGGAGGCTGAGGCAGGAGAACTGCTTGAAACCGGGAGGCAGAGGTTGCAGTGAGCCAAGATCACGCCACTGCACTCTAGCCTGGGCGACACAGCAAGACTCTGTCTCAAAAAAAAAAAAAAGAAAGAAAAGAAATCATAATTAGGAAAAAGTAGGCAGAGCAAAAAACTGAAAAAATGGCTCAAATGTTATTATTGCTTGTCTTTGTATAGTAAGATTATGAGTAAAATTTCTCCTCTTTCTTTTTTCTAAATTTTATAAAATACTTTTAAAAAATAGCTTTAGTTTTAAAAAAGAAAGAAAAAAGTATAAGAACTGAAGAGGAAAAGATGAGAAAAGGAAGAAAAAGGGGAGGACATTTACTTTCTCCTCTCTTCTCTTCTTGACCCTTCAAAGACCTCCACCCAGAGACTTATCCCTAGCAAGGTAATTATGCCTTGATGGATTATTTACTGCCACCAACAGAGTGTTCCCTCCACATCTAGCTACTAAACTCTTAGCATCTGGACAGGTAAAGCAGAGTTTTACTGCCTACCAGCCCCAGTGCTGAATACTCAATAAATGTTAGACTAAACTGAGCAAGACTAAACGACACTGGCCCCATCCAAATCCTTTCTTTCCAAGGGGATCTGTAGTTTCAGTCTCCACCACACATCCCTGTTGCAAAACAGGATCAAAATTTCTCTCTGCTTCTTATACTTCAGTCTTATTCATCCAAGAACTCCAATGTTTAGTCTCTTAAGTGGCCCAGTGTCTGAAGACTGCAAACCTATCCAATCCATTGGAGCATATTGTCAAAACTACAAACTATGGTTTGAGGAGGTTGAATGTAAACTCTTAGGAATTCAAAGAATGGAGCAATTCACTATATTTCACAGTTGACTCCACTGCTCTCCCACAAGATAAATTTAAGTTCCTTCTCTGCAAATCTGATAGTTATCACACATTCGCCTCTGCTCCCCAAGTCAAAGGCTTCCCTTGGACTGCTCACATTTCTGCAAATTGGTGTCTATTTGTAGCAATTTGGTTTATTATCACTGGTTCAGGGACAATTTAGAGCAGACCTTGGCAAGCTCTTATGATAACAATCTGCCCCGTTGTGCTCCTTATGGAAGACACCTGCTTTGCCAGGATGATGCATTAGCTGTGGGTGACTGAGTAAGAACATAATTAAGCTGTCAAAGTTTCCACTGGACCCTCCTGGGCCTGGGCATAGTAAATCTCAGTCAGGTCTGCCCATCTTGCATGTTGGCCACAGTGCCTGTTCAGTCAGAGGGCCCTAGTGCCTTCCTTCTGCATTTGGTATCATAAAATGTCAATGACCTAAGACATAGGTCACTTAGGAAAGAAACCAGGGCTTGAGAGCCCCACTGATAGTCTCTAGGTTGGTTATTTTGCCCCCATCCTTTCCAGAATTATTCTAACCCAAGAGAACCCTGGAGTCATCCTGTAGCCAAAACAGTTTCCAGAAGGCTAAACACTGCCAGAACAGAATGGTTTTCATGAGGATCTAGCCTTGCTCCAACTTGGGTCTTTATCTATTGATGGTCAAAATGATAAATAAAAATGTTCCTATATCTCCTCAGTAGAGGATGACTGTCCCTGGAGGTAGAAGAGGTCACAGGTGAGATTTTATATACCAATAAATTATGTTTCTCTATTCACTAGGCCAGGCCTTCCCACCAAGACCCACTGCAATTATAATTGTAGATAACTTTAGATTAAAAGTCAGGGGACAACTGTGGTCCTTGGTTTCATCCTTTCTCACCAGTGCCAAACTCCCCAACTACTGCAGCTACTCTGTCCCTGGCCTATCAGCCCTCTTTCACATATTATGAGGTTTGATGGAAACAGCACAAGCTTTGAACCTGCACCCACCTGGCCACAAATTTGGTTCTGACTCTTTTTTTGTTTTTTTTGTTTTTGTTTTTGTTTTTGTTTTGAAAAGGAGTTTCACTCTTGTTGCCAAGGCTGGAGTGCAATGGTGCGATCTTGGCTCACTGCAACCTCCGCCTCCCGGGTTCAAGCGATTCTCCTGCCTCAGCCTCCCAAGTAGCTGGGATTACAGGCATGTGATACTATGCCTCGCTAATTTTGTAGTTTTCGTAGAGATGGGGTTTCTCCATGTTGGTCAGGCTGGTCTTGAACTCCCAACCTCAGGTGATCCGCCTGCCTCGGCCTCCCAAAGTGCTGAGATTACAGGCATGAGCCACCGCATCCAGCCAGTTCTGACTCTTATAAGCTGCAAGACCCTGGGCAACTTACTTAATCCCTGTGAGTATCAGGTACCACCTTACACCTTGTAATGTGGGTTAAATAAAATTATATCCACGAAGTACCTGGTAATGTCTCAATAGATACTAATTCCCTCCTTCATCCTCTACCCAGTCATTTACAAAGTCTTTCAGGCCATTCAGGCCTCCAGCATCATCCCCTCAAAAGCCCACTCTAAAGCACCTCCCAATTCAGTCACTCATGAGGACATCACTTTTCAGATCTTATTTACTCACTCATCTACTTGATCACTTGTTTTTCTTCCTTGCCAATTTGGTTTCTTTCGTTTTTTTGTTTTTTGATTTTTTTTTGTCTTTGAGACAGAGTCTCACTCTGTCGCCCAGGCTGGAGTGCAGTGGTGTGATCTCGGCTCACTGCAACCTCTGCCTCCCAGGTTCACATCATTCTCCTGCCTCAGCACCCTGAGTAGCGGGACTACAGGCACCCACCACCATGCCCAGCTAATTTTTTATATTTTTAGTAGAGACGGGGTTTCACTGTGTTAGCCAGGATGGTCTCAATCTCCTGACCTCGTGATCTGTCTGCCTCGGCCTCCCAAAGTGCTGGGATTACAGGCATGAGCCACCACGCCCAGCGTCTTCCTTGCCAATTTCTATGAGCTCTGTGAGGGCAGGGAGCTTGTCTGTTCTTGCTGACCACTATCTGCAGTGCCTAAAGCAGTTCCTGAGACACCACAGGAACTCAGAAACATGTGTTGGATGAATAAATTTTCAGCATAGGCTCTGGCTGAGAAAACCTCACAGTGTGGAAAGGGCAGCACTGACTCGGGTTTGCTGTGGGTCAAGGGCTTCAGGGAGGAATCACAGGCAGATCATGACCTTCCAGCTCCACAGGTGGCTCAAAGCACAGGGGGAAGAGCTTGTTAGCATTGAACTCACTTCATGTGTCTCCACAATCTCTCAGGTCTCTGGTGGACAGCTGAGCAAGCCAGAAGCTTCCATCAGGGCAGATCATGCTGGGCATCCTCCCCCTGTGGGTTCCTCATAGGACACACCCTGGACTTCCCTGGAGAAGCCCAGAAGTGACACAGAAGAGCAGGGGGAATCCTTCTCAGAAGGAAAGGTGAAAAACAGAAAGAACCAATTACATGTTTTCCCAGCGACAGAGACTGAAAGCACAAGTCTTGGGCATGTGCCATGAAACACCTTCTGTCTAGCTGGAAGCCAGATCTGGCCTCATTAATCCACTTCTGCTTAGTATTTCTTTGTTGAAAAGAAAAAAGAAAATCCTATCTCTGGTACAAGGAAAGTTTTTTGTTCCTTAGAGAAAGCTACAACAAATACATTGACTACGTTAAACCTCACTAGTAATCTAGCTAAATATAAATTAAGATAAAGTGCCATTTCCCTTATAAAATTAGAACAATTAAAATAATTCTCCATATGGATTAAAGTGAGATAAAATGGCATACTCATAGATTCCATTAAGAGAATAAATTACTATAAAAATTTTGGAAAGAAATTTGGAATCTTAGAGAAATATTTACATTAGGTCTGCCACTTATGGTTGTACAGTTGTGTTTTGTACAACTCTAAGAGGCACCATTCACCTTCCAAGAATTGTAAGCATAATTACGGAGGCAATTTTCCTGTAGATGGCAGTCGAGTGTCTAGTGGAAAGGGTGCCTCTTTCTAATTTGCACAGTTGCCTTATCAGCTACTGGCAAGGGTGATTTACATACATGAATACAGTAGCTACATTTCCATGAAATATACACTGAGCAAAAAATTCCCAATGTGGGAAATGTTTTATTTACAAAGATGTTCATCACAGCATTTTTCAAAAAGTGCGAACAACCTAAATGTCCAACAGTAAGGAAATTATTCAATCAAGTGTGCTAAACACAATTGATATTTATGAACTGCTTATAATGATATGGGGAAAAGCTTCTGCTGCGTTATCATTATAATTTTATACTTAGGGATACAAAATTGTGTATACAGCATGATTACTACTAAGTAAATCAAACAAAAATATTTAAAAGCTATTCATAATAAAATTGCAGGATGATAATAAGCCAAAATATTAGCAGTAGTTATTTTGGGGTATAGAATTACTAATGCTATTTTTGCCTCTCTAATTTACTATATTTTCTAAATATTTTAATAAGCATGTGTTCATTTTATATTGAAATCTCCACCAATAAATTTTTAGAAGTAGAGAATAGTTAGAAATGAGAAGCAGAACTAAAACCTTTTAAAATTCCGTTGCTGAGACACAAAATCATTGAAACACCTGGTGTGGTATTTCAGTATTTGTGGAAGGTGTTTTAGTATCAGCCAAAAATTTTTTTACACCACCTGCTCCAGAAACTCTCATCAAGAGCAGGAGCCAGGGGCATGGAAAGCTCTAAAGAAGGAAAGAGAAGGATCTCTGTCGCCAAGAATAAAAGAGTCTTATTGTTGCCTACAGAAATGCCTCATTATCTCCAGACCCCCAAACATCTCAACGGACAATCTTTGACAGGGTAGAAAGGCCTCCTCCCAGTCAACATGGGATGGTTATGTTATGAAAATTCCTAAATATCTCCATTTCATGTCTATAAGGGATAGCAATCATGAATTTATCACAAGTTTCTTTGAAATCATTAGTCTTCATATGCCCTCTGTCTCTACTTTTACTATCCCCAATAGACAGTAAGGTATTAGTTACTTGGAGCTAAAATGATTTATTATGTTTTCCTAGGGCTCTGTTCCCAGTGAGAAGGGTGATTTTGAGAAGGCTTAAAGGTTGGGAGAGAGGGCTCTTGGCAAGAGGCCAGCTACAGGCAGCCAGGAAAGGAGCATCTGCCATCCAGGGAGGAGGACGTTGGGAAGACTGGTGCACTCCGAGCAGATCTTTGAAAGGAAGACATTGACAGTGAACCGAGGGAGGATACAGACACTGGTCTGAAGTGGGAGGAAGCTAAGAACCCTGCACAGGGCTACCATGCACCAGGACTCATTCCTGGCCCTCCACCACTCCTGGGGAAGAGGTGAGTTGAACAGGGGAAGAGTGACCTGCTGTAGCCATGGGCCTCTGGAATCCTGGCAACAGGAGACCCCATGACCCCCAAGCACACTTGAGCTGGCATGGAAAGCTGCTTAGAGAGGTGGTAGGAGCAGGAATCTAGCCTGTGTAGAGCCCAAAGAACTTGGTGTGGGAATGTCAACAGTGGAGCATGGCCAAGGACACTCATCCCCAAAAACTCTCTATCCTCCCCTAGGAGGCTTTCGCCTTAGGGGAACTGTTGGGCCTGAACTGAGCATGGCAGCCTTGCTGCTGAGATAAGGCCAGTCTGATCTAGGGCTCTTCTATCTGCCGACCTCTCCCAGGGCCCCAGCCTGGCCATGCCCACTTGCAGTGAAGCCTCGGTGCCCAACTGGAGTGACTCCTGGAGGCCTACATACCAGCCAACCACCTGGCTGTCAGGGAACTCCAACAGAACAGCCTCTGCCAATGCACACCAGCCCACCTATACCATCCCCCCATTGCACCTGCCCCCATGCTATTTTGCTGGCACACACTTGCCTATGCCCAACCCCTACCACCACAACCCCACCAATTTGCTGGTGAACACATGCTTGCATGGATCTCGCCTCTACTTCCCCACTGGTGCACATGTGCATGTGTATCCCACTGCACCATTGCTGCTGGCATGAGCATGCCTCCTTCCCCTTGCCACAATTACTATCATGAATGTGCACATGGAGGCCAATGGCCCTGCATCCCACTCCATGCCACCACTGCTGCCAGTGCAAACACAAGCACAGAGGCCAGCACCCTGCACCTGCCAGCACCGTGCCCCTGCGCCAACACCATAACTGGTGCAAACAAGCACACGAATGCCAGCAGCCCTGCACCCTGCACTCCCACTGCCACTGGTGTGATGGATACATGGAGGCCAGCAGCCTCACACTTACCAGCACCCCACCCCAGCCAACAAGCTTGCTCCCTCATGCTGCTGCTGCTGCTGCTGCTGCTGGCACCTGGGCATGAACATAGATCCTGCTGCCACTGCCCTGATGAAGAAATTTGGCTGGCACCACCCATTAGAGTGTTGTGGCCAGTGGTCTGGGAGCACACCAGCCTCTCCAATGTAGCAGATGCCTAACTTCCAGGGGCCAGAGAACAAAGCCAGGGCCTGATACCAGCCCCCGCAGAGTTATAGCATTGATCCCAGGAGTGCTGAGTTGAGAAACTCCAGGGGCCTGAGAACAAAGCCAGGGACTGATACCAGCCCCCCAGAGTTATAGCATGAATCCCAGAGGGGCTGAGTTGAGCCTTGGGTCCCTAAAATCTTCAATAAATGAACCCAGTTCACTGAACCCACTTTGTACCACAGTCAAACCCCCAACCACATCAAAGAAGATAAAGGAGAAAAACCCATTCAAAGGACAGCAACTTTATGGACTGAAAGAACATAAGCCCATACAGATAAGAAAGAGCCACTACAATAACTCTGGCAACTCAAAAAGCCAGAGTCTCTTTTTACCTCCAAACAACCACACTAGTTCCCCAATGAAGTTCTTAACTAGGCTGAAATGGCAAGAATAGAATTCAGAATATAGGTAGGAATGAAGATCATTGAGATGCAGGAGAAAGTTGAAACCCAATCAAAGGATTTTAAGGAATACAAGAAAACAATACAGGAGATAAAAGATGAAATGGCCATTTTAAGAAAAAACCATACTGAACTGATAGAGCTGAAAAACTCACTTTAAGAATATAAGAATATAATCACAAATATTAATATCAAAATTGACCAAACTGAGGAAAAAATCTCAGACCTCAAAGATTAATCCTCTGAAATAGCTGAATTACACAAAAATGCAGCAAAAATACTTAAGAAGAATAAAGAAAACCTTCAAAAAAACATAAGACTATGTAAAGAGACCAAATCTATGACTTATTGGTGTCCCTAAAAGAGAGGGAGAGAAAGGAAGCAACTTGCCCGTTAGGAACCAGGCCGCATAGCAGGAGGTAAGTGGCAGACAAGTGAGCATTACCACCTGAGCTCCACCTTCTGTCAGATCAGTCATGGCTTAAGCTTCTCAGGAGCATGAACCCTATTGTGAACTGAACATGCAAGGAATGCATGTTGCACACTCCTTATGGGAATCTACCTAATGCATGATGATCTGAGGTGGAACAGTTTGTTCAAAACTATCCACCAACCCCCATCTATGGAAAAATTGTCTTCCACGAAACCAGTCCCTGGTGCCAAAAGGCTGGGGACAACTGAACTAAAGAACCAAGAGCAAACCAACACTAAAACTAGCAGAAAACAAGAAATAACCAAAATCAGAGCTGAACTGAAGGAAATTCAGATGTGAAAAATCATACAAAAGGTCAATGAATCCACAAGTTAGTTTTTTGAAAGGGTAAATTAGATAGACCACTAGCTAGACTAATGTTTTTAAAAAGTGAGAAGATCCAAATAAACAAACAGAAATGACAAAAGGGACGTTACCACTAATTCCACAGAAACACAAAAAATCCTCAGAGACTATTACAAACACCTCTATGCAGACAAACTAGGAAACCTAGAAGAAATGGATAAATTACTGGAAACATACAATCTCCCAAGATTGAACCAGGAAGAAATTGACACCATGAACAGACTAATAATGAGTTCCAAAATTGAATCCATAATAAAAAGCCTACCAACCGGAAAAAGCTCAGGACCAGACAAATTTGCAGCCAAATTCTACCAGATGTATAAAGAAGAGCTGGTACCTGTCCTACTGAAACTATTTCAAAATATTGAGGAGGAAGGACTCCTCCCTAACTTATTCTATGAGGCCAGCATTATTCTGATACCAAAACCTGGCAGAGACACAGCAAAAAAAGAAAACTTCAGGTCAATATCCTTGATGAACATACACACTAGAAATCCTCAACAAAATCTAGCAAACCAAATACAGCAGCACATCAAAAAGTTAATCCACCATGATAAAGTAGGCTTCATACCTGGGATGCAAGATTGATTCAACATACATAAATCAATAAATGTGATTTATTACATAAAACTGAAAACAAAAACCACATTATTATCTCAATAGATTGTAGAAAAGGCTTTTGATAGAATTCAACATCCCTTCGTGTTAAAAACCCTCAGAAAACTTGGCAGTGAAGCAACATACCTCAAAATAAGAAGAGCCATCTATGACAAACCTACAGCCAACATCATACTGAATGGGCAAAAGTTGGAAGTATTCCCATTGAAAATCAGAACAAAACAAGGATGCCTTCTCTCACCACTCCTATTCATCATAGTACTGAAAGTCCTAGCCAGAGCAATCAGGCAAGAGAAAGAAATAAAAGTAATCTAAATAGAAAAATAAGAAGTTAAACTATTTTTGTTTGCAGATAATATAATTGTATACCTAGAAAACCCCAAAGTCTCCTCCCCAAAGCTTCTTTATCTAATAAACAACTTCAGCAAGTTTCAGGATACAAAAATAAATATTTAAAAAATCAGTAGCACTCCTATGCACCGACAATATCCAAACTGAGAGCCAAATCAAGAATGAAATTCCATTCACCATTGCCACAGAAAAATAAAATAGCTAGGAATATAGCTAACAAGGGTGGTGAAAGATCTCTACAACGAGAATTACAAAACGCTGCTCAAAAAAATCAGAGATGACACAAACAAATGGAAAAGCATTCCATGCTGATGGATAGGAAAAATCAATGTTGGTAAAATGGCCATACTGCCCAAAGCAGTTTACAGATTCAATGCTATTCCTATCAAACTACCAATGACATTCTTCAGAGAATTAGAAAAAAACTATTTTAAAATTCTTATGGAACAAAAAAGAGTCCCAATAGCCAAGACAATTCTAAGCAAAAAGAATAAAGCCAAGCGCACTAAGCTAAGCATGATCATCTATTGAGATGATCATGTGGTTTTTGTTTTTAGCTAAGAAGAATCCTAAGCAAAAAGAATGAGTAAAGAGGGATCATGTTACCCAACTTTAAACTATACTACAAGGCCACAGTAATCAAAATAGCATAGTACTAGTACAAAAACAGACACATAGAGGAATGGAACAGCATGGAGAGCCCACAGATAATGCTGCCCACCTACAACCATCTGATCATTGACAAAATTGACAAAAAGAAGCAATGGGGAAAGGACTCCGTATCGAATAAATGGTGCTGGAATAACTGGCTAGCCATTGCAGAAGGCTGAAGCTAGACTCCTGTCCTTACACCAAATACAAAAAATCAATTCAAGATGGATTAAAGACTTAAATATAAGTCCTAAAACTATAAAAATCCTCAAAGACTACCTATGAGATACCATTCTGGGCATAGGACCTGGCAAAGATTTCATGAAAAACATGCTAAAAGCAATTGCACAAAACAAAAATAAACAAGTGGGACCAAATTAAACTAAGGAGCTGCTGCACGGCAAAATACAATTTCAACAGATTAAACAGACAGGGGAAAATATTTGCAAACTATGCATCTGACAAAGGTGTAATATCTAGAATCTATAAGAAACTTAAACCAGTTAACAAGCAAAAACACCAACCAACAACTCGATTAGAAAGTGGGCAAAGGATATGAACAGACACTTCTCAAAAGAAGACATACACATAGCCAACAAGCACATGAAAAAATGCTCAAACTCACTAATCATTAGAGAAATGCCAATCAAAGCCACGATTAGATAACCATCTCATACCAGTCAGAATAGCTATTATTAAAAAGTCAAAAAACAACAGATGCTGGCGAGGTTGTGGAGAAAAGGGAATACTTATACCATGCTAGTGGGAATGTAAATTAGTTCCGTCATTGTGGAAAGCAGTTTTGTGATTTCTCAAAGAAGTTAAAATAGAATTACCATTCAACCCAGCAATCCCATTTTGGGGTATATACCCAAAGGAATATAAATCATTCTACCATAAAGACATCTGCACGTTTATGTTCATCACAGAACTATTCACAATAGCAAAGACATGGAGTCAACCTAAATGCCCATCAATGTAGAATGGATAATGAAAATGTGGTACATAAACACCACTGAATACAACACAACCATAAAAATGAATGAGATCATGCCCACTGCAGCAATAAGGATGGAGCTGGAGGCCATTATCCTAAGCAAATAACACAGGAACGGAAATCCAAATACCTCACCTATAAGTGGGAGCTGAACATTGAGTATATAGGGACACAAAAAAGGGAACAACAGACCTACTTGAAGGTTGAGGGTGGGAAAAGGGTTAGGATAAAAAAACTATCTATCAGGTACTATGCTTATTACATGGATGATGAAATAATCTGTACACCAATCCCCCATGACTTTCAACTTACCTATATAACAAATCTGCACATATACCCCTGAAACAGCCTTAGCAAAATTATGACTGAGACAGTGAAAGAGATCTAATTTAACCGACACTATTTTGCTTCTAACCTCCAAGCTGTCTTTGTTCATTCCTGGGCGTAGGCTGAACTAACTTTGGGAGAAACTTACTTTGTAGTTTATAGTTTAAACAAAGACGGTAACAGCCCTTTCCCAAAGTAGACCTTACTTCTTGCCTGGGGACTAGACTAACATTAGCTATAGGATTAGAAATTATGGTTTAGGAGTCATGAAGCTGGAGGTTACAAGATTCTGACCCACCCTAAACTGCTCCTAAGATCAGCGCTTGAGGTATTTTGCAGACCCTGCACTTGATGGATCGGGGCACCACCTACATGGATAAACTGGCTCATCTGATCTTGTGGTCCCCATCCAGGAACTGACTCAGTGAAAGAAGACTATGATTTCACCCCTGACCGATTAGCACTCCTGGCTTACTGGCTCCCCGCCACCCCATCCCTACCAAGTTGTTCTTAAAAATTTGGCTCCACGAATGCTCCAGGAGACTGATTTGAGTAATAATAAAACTCTAGTCTCCTGCATGGCCGGCTCTGTGTGAATTACTCTTTCTGTATTGCAATTTCCCTATCTTGATTAATCTACTCTGTGTAGGCAGCAGGCAAGGTGAACCCCTTGGGCTGTTACAAATTTGTGGCTACCTGCCCATAGTTTGGTGGCCCCCCTTGAGTGATGGATCCAGAAGCCAGCCCAAGTGGCTGGCTGCCTATTTCTCTTGGACTGGGGACTGACTCTGGTACTCTCTCTACTGGCGGGGTGCTGCTGATCCAACATGCATGGATTTACTTGCAATGGAGAAATAGTCACGGGGAGATGTCCCTTAACTGTAGCCCTATCATAAGATGTCTGTCTGTAGCCCCATTGTAGGGTTGATGAGTATCTTAGGTGCTGCCAACACCTCCTTCCTTCTCCTGACTGGTTTAGTAGCCCTATGGTGTGGTGTCTGTAGCCCCATTGCAGGATATCGGTTTGTAACTCCACCATGGAGTGTCTGGGTCTGTAACCCCATTGTGGGACGTCTGTTGGGCTCCTGGGGGGTCTCGGTAGGTTCTTTCTAACTAGTAGGAAGAGCCTTGGTTTGGGAGACTTATCCTCAATCAGGAAGATTTTGAGGAGGTTTCTCAGATGGAGAATAATTTGGAAGGGATACTCTTGGAGTTCTTGGTTAGGGATCTGATTTGGAAGGCCTTCTGTCTGTCGCATCTTTGTGTGTGTTTGTATATGTGGAAGGGATCTCAGAAGGGGTTGCTAATTGAACCTAACTCAGAAATCCTTTTTATTTGTCTGGTTACATTCAGTGAGCCCTAAAGAAAGCTCAACAGGCCTGTCTCTCCGGGTGACTCTATTCGCCTTGTCCAGAGGCTCCATTGTGAATTACCATTCAGAGGTCATCCCTCCCCACCTGGAGTGGAACATAAACAGGAACCAACAGGAAAAAATTTGAGCTTTACCAGTTTGATATTGGGTCCTGAACGAGGTGACTAATATTTGTTTTGTTATGTGTATTTTGCTAGGATGAAAAATGTTAATTCAGTTCCCTATGCAGCCCATTGGGCAGCATCTTGCAAATTAAGAATCTTGCCTATGGTTCCATAAAATAGGAAAGGGTGATTTTCTCTTGTAAAGTGGCCTGAACCCCACAGCTATGATGCAGTGAGCAGGGTCATTAGAAGCCACTCTGTTCTGGAAGCTACAGAGAAAGAGAGCTCAGAAACCTGGCATGATTGCAAAAAAGGTAAGAAATTCTTACCAGCCAAGTTTCTGGCCTCTCTCTCTCTCTTTCTCTGGGTAAACTGTAAATGTCACTCTTTGTCTCTCTGCAAGGGTTTGATTAATAGAAAAAAGATTTGTAAGACTAGGCTTAAGCAGTAGCAAATCCTAGTGCACTTTGTGCTAGGAATTTGCCTTTCTGTGTTCTGTAATTTAAAAAAGGAGCATCACAGAATAGAATGTGGGTTTAGGACCCCTATAAGCCTGATTTTTAAGCCAGCCCAGTGCGCTGGTCAGTTACAAACTTTGCAGCGGGTCCCTGAAACCAACACCGGATGAAATTTCTCTGTCTTGTTTTGTGTCTCTAAGAGCTTAACCCCGTGACCATGTGGGGATATTTTCTCTTGGTTTCTGGCACCTAGAAGACAGGAATTTGGGGATTCATGTCATAGTTAGCCCTAAGATTGTTCTTAAGCAGTTAAAAGCCTTTGCAAGCTTGGTATTGGCTTTTCTAGGCTCCTTCTGGGGAGAACAATAAAAATTGCTCACTGCTGTAACTCAGTAGCTAAGGCTTTGCCTTTTGACAATGGCACCCTGGGTTCTATTCTTGGCTTCCAGAATGATTCCTTTCTGGTTTTTTATTTGTGTAACTTTGCCATTTATTAAGGTTCCCCCTCCTGCCCCCCAGCACGGATAGCTTCTGATTTCCCGTCTTGAATTTTCCTTTCTCTAAACTACCCTGGGGGAGATTCTAAATCTTGTAAAAAAAAAAAAAAAAAAAAAAAAAAAAAAAGAAAGAAAGAAAGAAACTGCTTATCATCTCTTTGAGACACCTGTGTGTCCATGGTTAAGTTATAACCTTAGTTAAAACTTACTAATTTCATGTGGGAAGTTGCCTGTGGTAGAATTCAAAAGCCAAATATATTGGCTGCTTGACGTGGCTAAAGTCACGTAATAAAAGATTTAAAAGGATTTTTTTTAAGACAGCTATGGTTAAAAAGTCAGCTAAATTAAAAGTGGATAAACAAGCTACAGATATATTTAAAAGACTTTTACGTTTTTCGCTTCTTGGATCTTGTTTTTTCTGGAAAAAGTTCTTTTCTTCTCAGTTGACTGAATTATTTTTCTCCATTTTTTGTCTTCCCAATCTTAATGCATACATAAGAGGCCCTAAGATGACTTCTGGTAGCCTGGGACTCCTTGGAAAAAACAGGAACCACCACAGACCCTGTTTTAGAAAAAAAGCTCTGTTTTCCTCATGAAAGCCCAAGAATTAAAAGCAGATAGATCCCTCTCAAAATCAAAGGCTCTCTTCTGTTTTGCCTTGTGTTATCTGACGGTTTTGAGTTTTAGGGCTATCAGAAATTACCTCTCATTATAAGAGGGCTTTGGTGTGTAATAACTAGTGTAAAATATACTTTAGGAGATGGTTAACAGTAGCTATGGAGGAATACTTGACTCTTTGTACCCTTGGATCAAAGAAGCATGCTCTTGGCCACCTGGAAGATATGGAAACATCCCCACCCCCACTGAGAGATGAGACCCCCCCCATGGGGGATGGTCTAATTACAAAATGGGCTGACTAGCTTTAAGTTGCCTTGCGATAAAATGCACAGCTGGTAAAAGTACTGCTCTGTCTTCTCCTGAAGTATTTCCCTCCTTTTGAGGATCCAGGATCCAGTATAAAATGGCACCCTTAATTCTGGGGCTCTGTCTTTGCCTTCAGTTGTGATTAGGCCCTAAAAATTCATGCTTTCCTGGCCCTGTTCCTCCAAGGGCTCCACTCTGAACCAGTAGTCCAATTAAGAAATGAGAACACATGGACAGAGGAAGGAGAACATCACACTCTGGGGACTGTTGTGGGGTGGGGGGAGGGGGGAGGGATAGCATTAGGAGATATACCTAATGCTAAATGACGAGTTAATGGGTGCAGCACACCAGCATGGCACATGTATACATATGTAACTAACCGGCACATTGTGCCCATGTACCCTAAAACTTAAAGTATAATAATAAAAAAAGAAAGGTTAAAAAAATAAATAAATAAAAAATAAAAATAAAAAGAGTTATCAATAGAAAAAAAAAGAAACTGGCAAATGAAAAATATTACAGGTGCTAAATCTTCTGTCTGTATATGTGTTGTGTGTGTATAATGTTTATGTATTAAAAAGCTCTGATTAATAGGCTTTAAAAGTGCTTAAATCGAATATTTTGTCAAAAAATAGAAACTAATGCCTTTTTGTTCACATCAGTTTAGTAATCTTTTGGAAATAAAGACAGTTGTAAAGATTATTACTAAAATGTCTTGAAAATAAAGATATTTGGTCTAAATTAAGGTCAGATATCAGATTTGCTAAATGCTTTAAGGTCAGACTGTTTCCTTAACTTTTGAAAATTGTTCAGTTTACCTACTTTGAATCATTAAACTAAAGATAAGGCCTGGGGACATGTGGAAAGCCATGCCCCTAGCTATGCTGAAAAAAGCCAGACTTTATCTTCACTTCTGTCTCATGCCCTAGCTCTACCCCAGTATATAATTAAAATCGCTTACTTATCAGGTTTTTCACTAAAAATAAAAGTTGCTAAGAGTTAACATTATAACATGAAATTAAGTTTACTAAAGAGACAGTTTTACATACAAGGTGTATAAGGAATGTGTTTTTGGTAAAAAATTATAAAAAGGCATAGGAATATGGTTTTTGTTAAAGGGAATGTAATTTTGTCTAATACAAAGGGTTTTAAAGACTTTCTTCAATTAAAAAAGTAATAGAACAAAACTGAAGGTTTAAGCAAAATAAAAAGGATTTATAAAGGATTAATCTTGAAAAAAAAATTCTGTGGGTAAAAACAAGTTGGCTAAGATTAAAAAAAAAATTAGCTTTTTCCGCAGGTTAAAACATTAAAATCACACTGATATGGGGCCAGAATCTGGGCCCATGTGTCCGAATAACAGGGTTTTCTTAAAAACTGATCTGCTATTTGATGGAAAATTGTAAAGGGTTCTAAAAAGTTTATGAAAATGTTACGTTATGGTCAAACTAATTAAAACTGGATGAAGATATAAAATTTTATTTTAAAAAACTAGCTTTAACATTAAAGATGCACTAATGCCAGCATGAAATTTGGTTTTCTCTTTTGAAGACAATTGGTATGTAATATTAAAAAATAATGAAAGATTTTTGTTTTCTCCTTTGGGTAAATGGCAGGGGAAAAAGGAAGGAGAAAAAAGAGACAATTTCAGTTAGCCTCATGTTATTTTTATTGGGTCTTGTTTGGAAAGCTAAGTCTCCTCTATCAGAGTAAAGGTTTTTCTTTTTAAGATTTTGAAATTATCATTTTGGCCAAATGAATGACTTATGGTGACCTGAGATTCTATTTCGTGATATCCAGTATTCTAAACTTTTGATATTTGACAAACTTTCCAAAATCAAATTGTAAATTATGTCTCTTTCTAGCTTAATCTTTTAAATATTAGGTCCTCTAAAGTCCAGAAATAACATTTGGCTTATTCTGTATAAAAATCATACAGGAAACATTGTCAAATATTAAATGGTGTTTAGCGTTCTTTGGACTATATTTGTATAAATGTATTATTGGCATATGCTGCAAAATTTTGTAAAACTCCTATAATTCTAATATGACTTAATATATGTTGTCAGTAATAATTATAATTATGTTAAATGGTTGTGTGCCACAGAGGTAACTAATTTCCTTGTCAATCCTGTCCTTAACGGTGGCTGCCCTAAAGTGATTTTGTCATCCAAAGACAATTGTTGTCTCATTTTGGTCCTCTTAAAAAATGGTTTTATAATCAGCTATAAAATTTAATACGTACTCTTAAATGCAAGTTTCTGATTAATAACTCTGGAGATTATGATATTAGAAAACTTTCAAATAAAAAAGTGAATGGTGTTTGGTTTTCTTTAAACTATATTTGTATAAATATGTTATTAGTATGTGTTCTAAAACTTATGGGTAACTCATATAATTCTAATATACTTTAGTGTACATTATTAATAATTATAATTGTTATGTAAAATTGTTGTATGCCACAAAATTAACCAAAATTACTAGTCAATTGTAGCTTTAATAGTGGCTATAGACTTTTGTCTTCCACAGACATTTTGTCTTGCTTTGGTCCTTTTCAAAAGACAGTTTATAATCAGATATAAAACTGTGAATGCAAGTCTCAAATAACTTTAAAAATTGTGCTATTGAAATAAAGGAAAAAGAAAAACTTCTAGGACTCTCATGGAGAGCTAATGTGTTAAACATTGCTAATCCTTTTGTTTTCAGAGTCAAGATAATTTATTTCTTTAAAGCTATTTGCAACTTTTAGCAAGTGAGTAAAATACACTCCTTTGAAAAATTTTGAAGCATATTTTTTCCCTCTACTTAATTTCTCTAGAATTTGGAAACCATTTGTGAGTATTCCCAATTTATGGCAGTATACTTAATTGCATAAGTGCAATAACGATCTGTTTTCTTTTGTAACAGGACACCATTGAAAACATTGATCATTTTACCAAGGCTTTGCCTAAAATGGCATGCACCCTTTAAAGAATCAAAGTTGACTTATAAAGCTAATTAAAGCCCATTGGGAAATCTGGCCTCATACCTTGTCCACACAGAGTCTCTATACAAGGTTCCTGACTTGTGGTAAGTAAAAAATGTCACTTTCTAACAGGCTCAGGAACCCCAAGTTATCTTGGGACCTCAAAAGAAGAAGACTTTGCTCAACTCATAGGTATTTAAGGATAAAAACCCATGGCTGGGCTTGGCTTTTAAAAAGTCTTATCTAAAATTCTTCATGGAATGGAGTTCCATCAAAGCCAATTTAAAAAGCCTAAGTTGCAATTCCCCTGTCTTGATGAATTGGCTCTGTCTAGGCAACAGGCAAGGTGAACCCTTTGGGCAGTTATACCCCTGAACCTAAAATAAAAGTTTATTAAAAAAAGGTTGAGAGAATTTTCTTATGGTTCAACACTAACAACTATACACTTCAGGCTTTGGCCTATGCATTCTTTCATTGGTCCTGGCCCAGCCAATAGAATATGTAGGTACAGCCTATGCTAGTCATAAGCACAATGACATCTTACCTAAATCCAGCATCTAGCATGCTATGGGCCAATCCAATTTATTTTCCCATAATCTCTATTACATTTCCTCAATCTGGCCTCTGGCTTGGTTCAGACCTCTGTTTGGATCAGAGCCCTACCCTGGATCCTACCCACTCAATTATTCTAAGTGGTGCCTGGACACTGTTCTGATTTTCCCACATGTTTGCTGAGGCTTGACTTCAAACAGTATAAAGCATTTCAATCCACAAAACCAACTGGTGTCTCACTTTAGGTCATTCCCGGAAGGTTGCTATGGCCGTGCCTCTTCCACTAGATTATTGGTGCATTTTTTGACAAATATTTTTGAGTATCTGTAAGATTACAAACATGGGCTAGGCTCTGTGAATTTCATGGTGACTTTCCTCAGCAAAGTCAAACCCCTTGTCCTCATCTTGTCCTCATGGAAGTTAGCTTCTAATTGGATAGGCAGATAATTAACACATCTAGCAAATAAATAAATAATTACAGATTTGAATAAATATTATGAAGGAAATAATAAGGATGATGAAGTACACTAGAATAAACTACATAAGAACTGAAGGATGGGAATGAGTCAGTCATGCCAAATGCTGCGCTAATTTAGAGCTTTTCCAAATGAGCTTGAGTTTCTCACACATTATAAACACAAATTTGAACTTCATAGATTGCTTCTCCTGACCTTGGCCATGCCTGTTCCTGGCTTCTCCCTTCTCCAGTAGCTCTCTTTTGATTTCACCATATACCATATTGCTTAGCTTATAAAAATTATGGCTATTGTGAGAACAATTATAAGGACGTGACCAAAGAATTGAAGACAGTCATGAAGATGGGAAATCTTCTACTCCCTGAACAATGATTCTCAGAGTTTAGTAAGAATTATGTGAGAGACATATGATTCAACTCTACTCCCAAAGTTTCTGATTCCATATTTCTGGATAAAGCTCAGGAATCTGAATTTTTAGCATACAACCCCAAGCAATGTTGTCATAGGTGGTCCTCAAACTGTATGTTGAATAACAGTGCTCTAAAAACAGAAAAAATAATTTTAATATTCAATACTTAGTAAATTATTAGTGTTAAAGTGCTTTGGGAGTCAGACAAATCCAACTCAAATCTTGGCTCTGCATACAATAACCTCAGCCTCAGGTTTTTCATTTGTAAAAAAAAAAAAAAAAGAAAGAAAAAAGATAAAGAAACCTGCCCCATTGTGAAAATAAAATGAGATAATGTTTTATCATTAAGATAAAATGAGACAATGTTTAGAGGCACTTACCCAGGGCCTGACACATGTTAAGTACTCAAGAAATGGGTGTATGATTATAATCATCATGATGATGATGTTTACGACAGTGATGGTGACGATGGTGGAGATGATGATGATGATGATGATGGTCATGATGATGCTGTTGATATGCAGGAGGAATATATAAACCTACATTTGGTTCCAAACAAGTATTGTTCATTCTGAGTGTATTGCATTTTTCCCAGAAGAGGCACAGTCCTTCTGAAGTTTGCAATCTGGGGACAAGAAAGACAAATAAAAGAAACAAGAAAGAACAGAAAACAAAGACTTGGGCATTAAGTCTGGTGCACAAATGACTCCAAATGTTGCCCAAGAAGACAAATTGGTCAAAGCTGGATAGAGGCATTACACTGGTTATCTGCTGTTTTGTCTGCCAGGCATTAAGTATCTCCTTTTTTTTTTTTTTTTTTTTTTTGAGGCAGAGTCTCACTCTGTCGCCCAAGCTGGAGTGCAGTGGCATGATCTCGGCTCACTCCAAGCTCCACCTCCCGGGCTCACACCATTCTCCTGCCTCAGCCTCCTGAGTAGCTGGGACTACAGGCGCCCGCCACCATGCCTGGCTAATTTTTTGTATTTTTAGTAGAGACAGGTTTCACCATGTTAGCCAGAATGGTCTCGATCTCCTGACCTTGTGATCCGCCTGCCTCAGCCTCCCAAAGTGCTGGGATTACAGGAGTGAGCCACCACGACAGGCCAATATCTTCTTTTTTAGTGTAAGAAGCTTCATTTTCCTTTGAAAATTCTTCATCTCCCACATTCTTTTCTACACATTTTAATGGCACTGAGCCCACTCTCAGATCAAAGTGAGGGTCTTCAAGTCGGGCATGAACTCATCTGAGTCAAAGGTCAGGGCTGGCCAGGAAACCTAAACCAAAGGTTTTCTAGATCAAGCTTCAGCACTCTTGATGATATTTTAGGAAAATAGAATTTCTGCTGTCTGTGGGTGGATTAGATTATAATAAGCCTAAAGATACAGGAGGCCATCTTTGCCACAAGGCAGAATATGCCTTCCTGGGTAGGGGGATGAGTACAGAAACAGAAAGACGGAAAAAGAAAACCTAACTCATTTTGAGCTTTTGATTTGTTCCTGATAATATTTTGATATTTTGATTCTATTTTCATCTAAGTTAATTCTATCCCTTGACTTCCCACATGCAAAAACTACTAAATTCCACTCCCTATTTGTTTTTAACGTAAACTGGCCTAGGGAGCACCTATTTTACTTAAAACTAAAGTATTCCTGCCAAGTATCAAAATTATAAAGGAGAATAAAGACAACTGAGGATAGAATGGATAACAATGTTAAGAGCCTGCCTGTTGCAGATTATATATACAGTTATGCATCGCTTAATGACAGGAATACATTCTGAGAAATGTATTGTTAGGTGATTTAGTTGTGCAAACATCATAGAATGTACTTATATAAACCTACGTGGTATAGCCTACTATGCACCTAGGCTATATAGTGTGGCCTATTACTCCTAGGCTACAAACCTGCACAGCATGTTTCTGCAATGAATACTGCAGGCAATTGTAATACAGTGGTAAAAATTTGTGTACCTAAACAAACATAGAAAAATACAGTAAAAATATGGTATAAATGATAAAAAGTGGTACATCTGTATAGGGCACTTACCATGAATGGAGCTTGTAGGACTGGAAGTTGCTCTGGGTGAGTCACTGAGTGAGTGGTGAGTGAATGTGAAGGGCTAGGACATTACTGTACATTATTGTAGACTTTAAAAACACTGTACACTAGGGCTACTCTACATTTATTTGAAAAAGATCTTTAATAATAAATTAACCCTACTTTAAATTTTTGGTTTATAAACTTTCTTTAACTTTTGACTCTTTTGTAATAACACTTAGCTTAAAACATATATTGTACAGCTATACAAAAATATTTTTTCTTTATATGCTTATTCTATAAGCTTTTTCCTATTTTTCTTTTTTTTTTTACTTTTTAACATTTTATGCTAAAAACGAAGACATAGACACACAGATTTGCCTAGGCCTACACAGATTTAAGATCATCAATATCACTGTTTTCACCTCCACATCCTATCCTGCTTGAAGATCTTCAGGGGCAATTACATGCATGAAGCTGTCATCTCCTATGATGACAATGTCTTCTTCTGGAATACTCCTGAAGGACCTGCCTGAGGCTGATTCACAATTAACTTCCTTTTTATAAGGAGAAGGAGTACACCTTAGAATAATGGATTAAAGGTATAATACAGTAAATACATAAACCAGAACATAGCCATTTATTATCATTACCAAATATTGTGAACTGTACATAATTGTACTCTCTTTTTTGTGCTCTACTTTTATATGACTTTCAGTGCAGTAGGTTTGTCAACACCAGCATCACCACAAACATGTGAGTAATGCCTTGCAGCATGTGGCTAAGGCATCACTAGGTGATAGGAATTTTTCAGCTCCATTATAATCTTATGGGACCACTATTGTCTATAAAGTCTGTCATTGACCAAAACATCATTTTGTGGCCACTGTCTATGGATGAAATTCAAACCCAGTTGACTGGGCTTCCACACTCACACTTTGACACTTGCTCAGACAATTACACCCTCTGGGCATTAGAGGAGGTTGGTCAATGGGCTGGAGTGATGAGGAATTGTGCCATGAACAGGGATGTGATAAATGGGTAGGGTTTGGATGGGCAAGTAGTGCTGGGGTGGACAATGTAAGTGACACATGACAGGGTTAGAAATGGAAGAGTGGACTTGCACTTTTTGAAAGAGAGGCTCAGCTGGACAGGATACTGCATTAGAACAGGTTTCCATTCATAGTTTAATTTAATTCAAACTTGGAAGACTTTTAAGAACTCATTGGATGTCTCTCTATAGGAATTACAAAATAGTCTTTAACAATACTTCAACCTATCAGAGATCAGGTATATTCTAGAGAAGAAGAAGAAATACTTAGGCCTTAAACAGGCATAGAGATGATATATTCGTTCATTCAATATAACTTAATGAAAGTCTACTAGATCAGAGCTTTGCTTTTTCTAATAGAATAAAGAAATTAAAA
Organism: Homo sapiens; assembly: GCF_000001405.40. Taxonomy (NCBI): domain Eukaryota; kingdom Metazoa; phylum Chordata; class Mammalia; order Primates; family Hominidae; genus Homo; species Homo sapiens. Next base: position 84,802,367 of record NC_000010.11, on the reverse strand, counting down.
TGATTTTAAAGGATTAACGTCAAAAAGGAAAATTGGCAGTGTAGTGACAAATAAGAAATTAGTGTAGTTCTGCTGCAGTAAATATCTCAGCTTTTTAGTTGTACCTGTGTCAAGGGCCATTACCTCCATTCAGCTCATTCCCTGACCCCTGCCCGCCTCAACAGTGGCCAAGACAGATCAACAAAGGAAATCCCATAAAGAGAGATAAGCCAACACTCTGGCATGTCTGTTCTAGTGCTGACTCAGCCAGAGAGACAAGTTATTCTTCCTTATCTCTAACCTAAATCCTATTCTTTGCAGTTTAAGCTGTAGCTCTTCTCTTTAATCTTGTGCTCCTGGATTCAACAAAATGACCATTGCATCTGACCAGAATAACTACAGACCCCACTACGGCTTTTGCTCAGTGTTGCTGAAGATGTAAGCACACGCATGTACATGAACCTCCATGAAAGGTGGGCTGTGAGTACCAAACATTGGGAGCAGCCCTTGTGAGAACAGTGTGAACCACCTCTCAGAAGGAACCAAGTGGAGGTTCCTGCTCAGGCTGTGGTGTCACCTACCAGTGAATGGGCCATCAGGAGGGGCCTTGTGCTGGCTACTATCAAGATAGGAAGCACCATGAGAGCCTCTCCCATCTGTTCCAGTACGCTTGTTCTGCCTGGCATGAAGCAACAAGCTGCTAATTGCTTCAGTCTGGAGGGAATGGGAATTCAATATGCACCATTCCAATTTAGGGTAACATTGCAAGACTTAGGGTCAATGGACCAGTTGCAGCCAAACACAAAGAAAGGGGATAGGCACTTTATCTGTACGTGACTGTCACTGTACATGGGGCAGCCTTATCTTCCTCTGGCCAGGTCAGAGTGCTTGAGATACATGAACCAGGAACTGCAATCTGTGTTAATAGCTCCTCTGTGCTTTCCCACTTTTCTTCTGCATGTCAACAACGAAGATGATTTTGACTGCTTTACTTTAGCTAATGGATATCATGAGGACAGCAAGTATGTGAACATGCTTTCACAAAACTCCATAAATTGCCTACTATTCAAGCTATTGATATGCCTGTTTTGAGGGCCATTTGCTCCTCCATCAATTGAGAATAATGACACAAAATTCGAGGTATGCTTTTCCAAGTCCATGGAGAGGGAGCAGTGTATAATGAAGGAGAGCTGAAATATTTGTCAATTGCCTTTTCTGTACCAGACATCTGCCAGATGCTTTATATTAATTACTACACATAATCCTCACAAAGATGCCTGTGAAATAGGATTAATTATTTCTATTTGCAGATGAGAAAACTGTGGCTGAAAGATCTAATGTTGCTCTCTCAAGATCACAGGGCTAATAAGAAGAATATTCTGGCTGGGTGTGGTGGCTCATGCCTGTAATCCCAGGACTTGGGGGGCTGAGGCGGGCAGATCATGTGAAGTTAGGAGTTCGAGACCTGCCTGGCAAACATGGTGAAACCCCATCTCTACTAAAAATACAAAAAAAAAATTAGCTGGGTGTGTTGACAGGCACCTGTAATCCCAGCTACTTGGGAAGCTGAGGCAAGAGAATCACTTGAACCTGGGAGGCGGAGGTTGCAGTGAGCCAAGATCACACCACTGCACTCCAGCCTGGGTAACAAAGTGAAACTCTGTCTCAAAAAAAAAAAAAAAAAGAAAGAAAGAAAGAAAGAAAAAAAGAGAGAGAGAGAGAATATTCAACCCTCAAATCCAGAAGCCTTTTACTTATGTACGTATGTAAGTGCACACACACACATTTGCACTCATGAACACATGCAGGCGCCCACTTAAATGTATACACAGAACATACAAACAGAAGTCTATATCACTTCGTCTATACACACAAGTTGGTAAATACATTCTCTCCAGACTGACCAATGGGAACATGGAAGACACAAGTTCTTCATCTCTCCAAGTATTCATGTTAAGCAGTTCCAGTTAATTTCCACAATATCAGAAATACAAGTTAAGAGTGGACAAAGCAGCCCCTCTATCTACACAGTCCTGGACTCTTGGCTGGCTGAGTTGGCAACTGGCACAGGGGCTCCAAGGAGCCCGTGAACATCTGCCTGCTTGAAGGCCAAGGCTAGATCAATAGCCAATCAAAGACTTTTTCCACGACTCTGTGTTTGTCATTCTCCGATATCCTGTAACCCAATTCCTGTCCTTAGGGAGAGTATGCTTAAATTCTGAGTGTGGATGCTGAGTTAAGGTGAGGGTACTGAGGTTGAACAAAAGAATAGCATTTCAGAGATACCATCTCACACCAGTCAGAAAGCTATTATTAAAAACAACAGATGCTGGTGAAGCTGCAGAGAAAAAGGAATGCTTAAATACTGTTGGTGGAGATGTAAACTAGCTCAGCCACTGTGAAAAGCAGTTTGGAGATTTTTGAAAGAACTTAAAACAGAGCTAACATTTGACTCAGCAATCCCATTACTGGGTATATGCCAAAAAGAAAATAAATCATTCTACCAAAAAGACACATGCACACACATGTTCAGCACAGCACTATTCACAATAGCAAGCATATTGAATCAACCTACGTGCCCGTCAATGGTGGACTGGATAAAGAAAATGTGGTACATATACATCATGGAATACTCTGCAGCCATAAAAAAGAACAAAATAATGTCCTTTGCAGCAACATGGATGTAGCTGGAGGCCATTATTCTAAGCAAATTAACACAAGAACAGAAAACCAAATACTGCATGTTCTTACTTAGCAGGACCTAAGTATTGGGTACTATGAACATAAAGATGGCAGCAGTTGACACTGGGGGCTACAAGAGGGGGAGGGAGGAGGCAAGGATGGAAAAACTACTAGGTTCTAAGCTCACTACTTGGGTGACAGGATCAATCATTCAAACCTCAGCATTACACAATATACCCATGTAACAAACCTGCACACGTACCCCTGAATCTCAAATAAAAGTTGAAATTATCAGAAATTAAAAATTGAAAAAAAAAATAGCATTTCAACCTTAGGCACCTTGAGCCCTTTAGCCCTGGCATGAAGTGAAAACTTCGTAGATGTTTTTGACTAACTGACTGATTGGCTAACCAACAAGGAAAACTGGAAGATCCAGTGACAATTGCACTTCTGTGAATGGAGACGTTTTATATACATTAAGCCTGTTACTGATCAGAAGAAAACTTTTGCAACCGATTTATCCTTAAAAACATCATTTTCTGTAAGGATGGGGAAGAAGCCCCAGCTCAGCAGCCTGGTTGGCTCTTCCATGTCCCAAATGACATAGGCATCCTTCAGCTAGATTCCCCCTAGTAAATAAGTTCCACCAGCCCACGCAGGCACCACTCCCAAGAAGCAGGCTGCAAACATGAGTCTCTTCCACAGGTAAGGCTCTAATCTGCGCACCGTGTACTGCTCCTGTCTCCCTCATCCTCAGACTGCTGACTCCCTCTCTGCCACATCATTGCCAGCTCTTTACATTTGGCTACCCTTCCCATTTCCTTTAGGCTTTGGGGATTTGGCTTTCTATTCAGATCGGACTATGGTTTGATATAATTTACAGCATCTGTTGAGAAACTTCTAATTCAGCCCTGACCCCTCAAAATCTCACTGAAAAAGGCTCTTTTTCTATTCCCGACCAGAATCTTGGTCCTCTGAATATGTTAGGGGCTGAGTCCACACCCCTTCCTCCCCGCTACACACACACAAACATTGAGAAAGGGCAGGAGGCAGGAGTCTTCCCAACATCCCACTTGCAAAGGGAACACATGCTCATCCATTCTCCAGCAGTCGTTCTTCATTGTGATGCCTCCAATCTAAATGTCAGTACAATTTGCCCTTATAAAAATACGGCTCCCTCCCCTTCTCCACCAGGGACTGCATCTGTAACCACGGTAACAAAATCCAGGTGCAGCAGCACAACCACCATTTCTATGAGGATGGAGAGCACCGAGAGGGGAAAGGGAAAAAACAGTGCTGCAGTTTTCACATGCAGCCTGGGGTCTGTCCAGGGACCACATCTAGTTCTGCCCAGAAAAGGCTGCACTCACATCTATTTTACAAGGCAAAATGAGCCCTTACCAGCAGTAACACTCTTCTACCTATTCTTGTACCTAATGTCAAAGCCTCTGCTCCATACAGTCAGTTTAGCTAAAAGAAATGGTCACTTTCAGGAGCAAAATTGTTAAAGCTATAGGTTGAAATGCCTGAAGCCAAGGCAATCGCTGTGTTTTGTTTTTTGTGTTTTTTCAGCTTTCTTTTCCAACTGAGTGAGTTACTACTCTTTCTCTCTGAGGCACACACACACATACGAAAGCAGAAGGGAAGGAAAAGAGGGAGAAAATACTAAGAAGCTCTCATCCTTTGAACATCAGACACAGTGCTAGTACTTTACAAATAATATATTTAATAATTGCATCAGCCACCCTCCAGTGTATATGTGCCAGTATATGCAACTATGCATAGGTGTTCATGCCTACATGGCTAATGTACAAGCATATGTACACACATAGAAGTTTAATAACTTGCCTAAATTTCAGTAACTTTTAGAGCTAGGCATGCTCAGGGTTTAGGGATCCAATGACTTATTTTTATTATATCACGTTGTACCCCAAGCAGAATCTCAAGGTTTTCCCAAAGGCAATACATACGTACGTGCATACATAAATTTCAATGCAATTTGGCTGGCATACAAGACACACCACAACCTGAGAAGAAAAAACAGGAAGATACCTTAGTTGAGTCTCTTCTACGAGCTGGAGGCCGTGCCAGATGCTCAGACAACTTGGGCCCTACGTGGTCTATGTGACCAAACACAGGCGTCAGCTTCCTGCAGGCACACAGGGAACTCCCTGTTTGTTAGAAGTCCTAGGTACCTTTAAAGGGGTAGGAACATTCCCTTTAGCACAGAGCATAAATAAAAGCAGCCTGAAATAAGATAACGGGAAGGACTGCCAGAATCAAGGTGCACTCCCAGAAAGAATCATTTGCTTTGACTTGGGAGATCTCCTGATCTCCACTTTGGCAACTACCCAATTTATCTTTGACACAGTGATACCCATTGTCCCCACTTAGTTTTTAATTTTCAACCCCACCTGGACTACACTGACCACCCTGACCTCAACAAGTTCAATTTCTACCTTTATTATTGACCTATAATTGAGACTCCACTCAGCAGACATTGATACCTAATCAGTTCTGCATTTGGACAATCCCTCCTAGATTGACTCAGTCATGCCAAGAGCTCAGCCGCTGCTTCCTTCTCTGCCTGCTGTCATCTGATTCATCATGACACTTCAGTAACAGGATGTTAAATGGGAACTTTTCTTTTGATTTAGCAGTTTAGCTAAGGCTCTCAAGTTGAGAGGAATGAAGGGAAGAAATGTCCCCAATTAAAGCCAAGCAAAGAGCTGGTATGGGAGCTCTAAGAATTGAAAAACTTTATAGTTTTTAAATATTTAACTTTTTAATTTACAGATAATTGTAGATTCTCACGCAGTTGTAAGAAATAATACATATCAACAATAATAGTCGGAGACATCAATACTTCCACTTTTCATAATGGATAGAACAACTATACAGAAAACTAACAAGAAAAAAGAAGAATAGTACTAGAAACCAATTAGACCTAACAGACACCTTCAGGGTCCTTTATCCAATATTAGCAGAATACACATTCTACTGAAGTATGCATGAGACAATCTCAAGGATAGATTCTATGTTAGGTGATAAAACAAGTCTCAATAAATTTAAAGGATTAAACCCATACAAAATATATTCTCCAAACACAATGGAAAGTTAGAAATTAACACACAATACCATTTCGGAAATTCAGAAATACAAAGAAATGTCATGAAACACCCTTAACTACCCAGTGGGTCAATGAAGAAATCGAATGGAAAATTGGAAAATATTTTAAGATAAATGAAAATGAAAACATAAAATACCAAAACTTATGAGATTCAGCAAAAGTGGTACTCAGAGGAAATCGTATAACTGTAAATGCATATATTAAAAAAGAAATTTAAATCAATAAACTAAATTTTTACTTAAGGAATCAGAAAAGCAAACTAAATGTAAAGAAAGCAGAAGGAAGGAGAAATACAGATTGAAGCTCAAATAAATAAAACAGAATAGAAAAGCATTATAGAAAGCCAGTGAAATAAAAGTTGGTTTCTTAAAAAGGTTAGCAATAATCTTGTTATTAGCTAGAATAACAAGAAAAAGAAGGAAAGAAATGTCAAACTGCTAAGAATCAGAAATGAAAAGAGGAGAAACTATTAGCAACCTTCTAGAAATAAAAAGGATTTTAAGGAAATACTATGAAAAATTATGTGTCAATGAATTAGAACCTAGATAAAATAGATTTTTAAAAGTCTCATGAAGAAAAGCACAAGAATGCCACATGGCTTCATTTATGACTTCTTTCAAACACTTAAAAGATAATTAAAACAAATCCTTTACAAACATTTATGTTCATTTATGTTCCAAAAACATAAATGAAGAAAAAGAACTCTCCATCTTACTACTTTGATGCCAAAACTAGGCAAACACATTATGAGTAAAGAAAATTTCAAATGAATATCTCTCATGAATATAGATGCAAAAATCCTCAACAAACACTACCAAATTGAATATAGCAGTATACTAAAAAGATTCTACACCATGACCCACTAGGATTTATCCAGGAATGCAATGCTGGTTAACATACAAAAATCAAACAAGGTAATAAATAGTATTAATAGAATAAGGAAAAAAATTCACGAATTCTCTCTATAGACATAGAAGAGGCATTTGACAAAACTTTCTTCCCTTTATGATAAAAAAAAATTCAACAAACTAGGAATAGAATGGAAATTCAATCTGAAAAAGGGCATACGACAGTACCCCCTTATCCATGAAAGGTAAGTTCCAAGACCACCAGTGAAGACGTGAAACTGTGGATAGTACTGAACCCTACATATACACTATGTTTTTTCCTACATATACATAACTATGATCAAGTTTAATTCATAAATCAGGCACAGTAAGAGATTAAAAGCCATACTAAGAATAAAATAGAACAATTATAACAATTTACTGTAATAAAAAACTATGTGAGTAGGATCTATCTTTCTTTCTCAAAATGTTTTACAGTATATAATATCTTAAGACCACGGCTGACCATATGCAACTGAAATTGTGCAAAGTGAAACCATGCAAAGTGAAATCACAAATAAGGGAGGACTACTCTATATGAAAAACCCATAGTTAACATCATACATAAATGTAAACAACTGAAAGCTTTGCTCCTAATATCAAAAACAAGAAAAATATTTTTGCTGTTATCATTTCTATTCAACATTGTATTTGCAGTTTCAGGCGGAGCAATTGGGTAAAAGAAAGAAATGAATGCATCCAGTTTGGAAAATAAGTAAAATTTCTATTCTCATATGGCATGATCTTACATACAGAAACTCCTAAGAAATTCACAAAGAAACTACTAGAATTAAGAAACACATTCAGCAAGGTTGCAAGATAAAAGTTCGGTATACAAAAATCAACTGTGTTTCTATACACTAACAATGAACAATTCAAAAATAAAATTAAGAAAACAATTTCATTTACAATAGTATACAAATAAAGTGTGTACAAGTAAGTTTATCAAAAGAAGTGAAAAACTTGAAACCAAAAAATGTAATTATAAAAATTAAAGACCTGCATAAATGAAAAACATCCTGTGTTCACAGACTGGAAGACTTCATATTTTTAATACGGCAATACTTCCCAAATTATTCTACCAATTCAATTTATTCCTATTAAAATTCTAGTTTCCTGTTTCTCTTGATGTGAAGGTTTTTAATTTAATTAAGTCTCATTTGTCTATTTTTGTTTTTGTTGCATTTGCTTTTGAGGTCTTAGTTATAAATTATTTGCCTAGGCCATTGTCCAGAAGAATTTTTCCTAGGTTTTCTTCTAGTATTTTTAAAATTTTCAGTCTTATGTTTAAGTCTTTAATCTATCTTGACTTAATTTTTTTATATGGTGAGAGATAGGGATCCAGTTTTATTCTGCATATGGCAATCCAGTTTTCTCAGGACCATTTACTGAATATATATATATTTTTTTCAATATATATATGTGTGTATATATATGTGTATATATTCATATATGTATATATATGTATGTATATATGTATATATGTATGTATGTATATACATATATATGTGTATATGTATGTATGTATATACATATATATGTGTATATGTATGTATGTATATACATATATATGTGTATATGTATGTATGTATATACATATATATGTGTATATGTATGTATGTATATACATATATATGTGTATATGTATGTATGTATATACATATATATGTGTATATATATGTATGTATATACATATATATGTGTATATATGTATGTGTATATATGTATATACACACACACACACACACATATATATATATAATGGAATACTACTCAGCCATAAAAAAGTAAAATCATGTCTTTTACAGCAATAGATAGAACTGGAGGCCACAATCTTAAGTGAAATCACACAGAAACAAAAAGTCATATACCACACGTTCTTTCTTATAAGTGGAAGCTAAATAAAGTGTGTACATGGACATAGATTGTGGAATAATAGTCACTGGAGACTCAGAAGGGTGTGAGAGTGGAAGGTGGGTGAAAGACAATAAATTAAATGAGTACAATGTACACTAATCAGGTGATGGTTATACTAAAAGCCCAAATCTCACCATGATGTAACATATCCATGTAATAAAACTGCACTTGTACCCCCTATATTTATACAAATAAAAAATAAATAAACCAAAACAAATTTCTAGTTGCCCTTTTTCCAGAAATTGACATACTTATTCTAAAATTTATATGAAAATATATGAAACCCAGAATAGCAAACCAATCTTGAAAATGAAGGACAAAGTTGGAATCCTTGTATTTCCCAATATCAAAAGTCACTACAAAGCAACAGTAGTAAAGACCATGTGGTGCTAGCATAAGAACGAACATATACATCAATGGAAAAGAATTGAGAGTCCATAAAAAAAACCCATACATTTATGGTCAATTGATTTTCATCAAGTGTTCCATAACAATTCAATAGGGAAAGAATGGTCTTTGCAAAAGATGGAGCTGGGATAACTGGAAATCCACTTGCAAAAAAGTAAAGTTGGATCTTCCTTTTTGCCATGTACAATAATTAATTCAAATGGATCGAATACCAAAATTTAAAAGTTAAAACTATAAAACTCTTAGAAGAAAACATAGGAGTACATCTTCATGACCTTGATCTAGACAACAATTTCTTAGATATGATACCAGAAGCATAAGCAACCAAAGAAAAAGATAGATAATCGAAAAAATTTATTGGATATCATCAAAATTATTAACTTTTGTGCATTAAAGGACACATTGTTAAGAAAATTAAAAGCTCACAGAATGGGAGCGATTAGTTGCAAACATATCTGATAAGGGTCTAGGTCTAGTATCCAGAATATATGAAGAACACAACTTGACAATAAAAAGACAACCCAATTTTAAAATGGGGAAAAAATTTGAACAAGACATTTTCCCACAGAAGATATACAAGTGGCCAGTAAGCACATGAAAAGACAATTGATATCATTAATCAATAGGGAAGGCAGGGCGCAGTGGCTCACACCTGTAATCCCAGCACTTTGGGAGGCTGAGACGGGCGGATCATGAGGTCAAGAGATGGAGACCATGCTGCCCAACATGGTGAAACCCCGTCTCTACTAAAAATACAAAAAATTAGCTGGGCGGGGTGGCATGCGCATGTAGTCCCAGCTACTCGGGAGGCTGAGGCAGGAAAATCGCTTGAACCCAGGAGGCAGAGGTTGCAGTGAGATTGCGCCACTGCACTCCAGCCTGGTGACAGAGTGAGACTCTGTCTCAAAAAGAAAAAAAAAGTCATTAGGGAAATGAGGAAATGACAATTAAAACCATAGTGAGATAGATACCACTTCAAACCCACTAGAATAGCTATAATCAAAAGGACAGACATTAAGAAGTGTTGGCAATGATGTGGGTGAATTAGAATCCTCATCCATTGCCGGTAGGAATGTAAACTGATGCAACCACTTTAGAAAATACTTTGGTAGTTTCTAAAAAAGTTAAACATGGAGTTACCTTACAACCCAGCAATTCCATTCTTAGGTATATACCCAAGAGAAATAAAAACATACTTTCACAAAAACTTGTACATGAATGTTCACAACAGTATCATTCATAATAGTCAAAAGGTAGAAACAACTCAAATATCCACTAACTGATGTATGGCTAAACAAATGTTGCATCTCCCTGTAATTGTATATTACTCATCCAGAAAGCACTGATACATACTACCAGGACAAACCTTAAAAACATGCTGAATCAACGAAGCCAGACACAAAAGGTCATACATTGTACAACAGAGTTTATGTGAAATGTTCAGAATAGGCAAATACATGGTGAATTAAAGTATATTAATGGACTCCAGGGGCTGGAGGGAGTAGTGAATAGGGACTAACTGCTAATCAATAAGAGGTTTATTTTTGGAATGATGAAAATATTCTAGAATTAGACAGTGGTGATGGTTGCACAACCTTATAAATGAACTAAAAACTACTGAATTGTCCATTTTTAAAAAATGAATTTTGTGGTAAATGAACTTTATCTCAGTTCTTTAAAAAGAATACACAACCTCAATCTAATCAGAAGGAAACATTACATTAATGCAAAATGAGAAATGTTTTATTTTTTAGAAGAAAGGGAAAGTATCCTTCAAAAATGTCAGTGTCATAAAATTATATGGAAATATTCTAGATTAATGGATGATAAAGAGGCATAACAACTAAATGCAATACCTGAGCCTAGACCAGAGCTTGTACTCAGGAGGAAAATGCTTTAAAGGACATTATTAAATCAACATCTAAGTTAAAATACAAAATGATATATTAGATTTAAAATTAAATAATTATATCAATGTAATTTTTATAAGTTCATAACTGTGTTGTAGTTTTATAAGAGAATATGCTTCTTCTTGGAAAATAAACACTGAAGTATTCAAGAGGAAACAAAGACAGAAATAGACTTCTTTATCTATACAGGGAGAGCATGCAAATGATAAAGTACATGGTGTAAAAAGTTAACAATAGGTGAATCTGGGTAAAGAGTATACAGGTGTTCTATTACTATAGTATATAGTATGCAGGTGTCCTATTACACAGGTGTAGTGCTTTTATCCTAGCAATCTTTTTTTTTAAGGAAGACTAAAAAGAGATCCAAGTCTGTACTTCCACAAAAAAGAAGTTACCATCTTATTCTCTAGTTAGACAGTACTTTCTAGGCTGCAGAAACATAGCAGTTTGTCCCGATCAAGCCTGGAAAATTCTTGGAAGAACTTAACATGTATCCCCTAAAGTGTGGGTTGCAACGAGATAGTTTGTGGACTCTGACTTGGACAGGTCTGAATCAGCCACAAGAGTTGAAGAAGAAGAGAGGAAAACAGGGGGTCAGCTATGTCTCCACCAATGACAGGAAAGAATGCCAAATTCCCAAGAAGCATGTGAATGCTCTGGGAAGTGCAAATAAAATAAAATCTCAAGTCACTTTTAAAGGATCCCGAACAAGATGGTGTCCTGCCAAAATGCAAGATCCCAGAATTGTTTCGCCTCATAGGGACGGAAAAGAGTCACAAAGGAATGAGTCACATTACATGTCCTCATACGGGAGTCTCCAAAGAACCCACAAAATTATGTTTTGGAAAAAATGTTCTGCACTCAGGCTGTAGAATGTCACCTAAGTAAAACCAAGCCGACTTGTTTTTGTTTGAATTAATGACCACAACCTCAAGGGGCCCCTAGGACTGCTGCAATTCTGCAACCACAATTCCCTAGTTCTTTCCTTTCCCTCATCTCCTCCTTCACATCTTCTCCCTGCTCCTTAAACCTCCAGCTTCTGGTTTACCTTCAGAAGCTAGTCGGTAATGGGCAATGCCAAGCTCTGTGCAGATCTCCTCCTGTTCCTAGATTACTGTAATAATCCCTCAACTGGCCTCTCCACTTCTGACCTTGACATCTCCATGACTTCACTCCATCTTATCCTCACTACTTCTCTGCCTCAATGTTCACATCTTGTGTCCTTTGAATACGAGGTCTCCTCTGCTTGGGTTTTCTTCCCCATATTTCTCCATGACCCACTCACTTATTTCCCTTAGATCTTTTCCCAAATGTCACTTAACGAGAATGTCCTTCATTGACCACTCTATATAAAATGGCAAACCCCCTTGCCAGAAATCCATGTTCCCCTTTTCTGCCTTACTTTCCCCCACACCTCCTATTGTCTTAAGATTCAATATATTTTTATTAACACATTTTGCCTCACCCTGCTTGAAAAAATTTCCATGAAGCAGGACGTTATCATCAGGGTTTATATCCAGAACTCTGAGCAGTACCAGACGTAAATTTAAAACACAGTGAATATTTGTTGAATGAGGGAATGGCTCCCTCCTCCAAGCCCAAATCCAGCAGGATGCAGAGGGAGTCAGACTACGTGGAAGAGGTAGGACAATGCTTAAGCAGAGTGAAGGAGCAGAACCACCCAATCCCAACTCTGATCCATGAGCAGAGTCAGGCCTGAGCAGGTGAGGAGGAGAGGCTTTCCTCTGTGTCTGGGAAGGAAGCTTTAATTTAAATATATCTCAACTTGCTAGTACCTGAAGACATGACTATTCTAGTATCTAAAACAGATCAGAAATGCTGTGAGACCATCCCTAGATTCAATCCTGTGGTGGGGAAGGAAGAGCAAACAGAATGGAATTGAATGCAGTGAGAGAGAATATAAAGCCATTTCCTTGTCTCCCTGCCTAATTAAGTCTGTTTAATAAACCCTTAAATGAGATGCCCTTCATCACTGGTGGCACAGATGGCTGTGCAGAGGCAAGTGGTATAGCCAAATTGGGGTATGAGCAGGTCCTCGCTAGAGTGAGAAGATCCTTTTTCTTCACAAGTTTGACAGCGTGTTGCCCAGTGTGAAATAAAGGTGTATGTGTGAACTGAGCCCATGGGGACAGGTGCCTGACCTCATCCTGCCATCCAAGGCAAAGCTGGGATTTGCCAACAAAGCCCTGGGTCTGCCTTGAGCCTCCAAGAGCTGCAGGCAGTTTCCTGGGTTGTGACTAAAGCATAATGGCCTTTAAGGTGCCCCAGAGAGGAATGGCTTTATTCAGCTAATGACCCAAAAGAAGCATTCCCCAAACACCTGGGAAGAAAGAATAGCACAAGGAAAGGATATGCAGTGTGCACAGAAACACCCAAGTGGTGTAGCCTAACACTAAAAGGAGAGCAGTGTTAGGAGCTGCAGTGAGACAAGCAAGAAGAGTTTAAGCTGAACCACACCTTTTGGGATCTGACTTGTTTTAAACAAACATGTACTGTATATATTCCCCCATAGCTCCAATGGGCACACCCTTTATATCTTCACCCAAGTTCCTGAAGAGCCTGTGCGGCAGGATAGCTGCTGTCAGAGACTGCACAAAGCCCCTGGAAAGCCTTCTCCAAATTGATCTTAAATAGTGATTATAGACTATGTGGAGTGGACAATCTACATGATTCCCTTGCAACTTTAAGTTGCAGTATTTTGCTGAATATTGCACTTTTGAAATCTCCTCAGTGACAGGACCAAACTTTACATCTGCACACGTGCATCAGGCACCTCTATAACCTCCATACTCACAACATAGTTCAAAGGAAGCAATCCACAATTATGTAATATAGGATTCATATACTTAATAGTGCTGACAACATGCCAGGCAGTATTCCAAGAGCATTATAGGTATTAAATAATTTAATTTTTATAATAACTCTAAGAACAGAGTAGTTAAGTAACTTGCCCAAGGCTAAACAGCTAGTAAGTGGAAGAATGGGTTTGAATTCTCAGGATTGTGGCACCTGAGGGTATATCCTCTAAGGATAATTAGGCCCAAGATACATAAGCAAAACTCGATTATATATCTCTTTCTTTTTCCTTCTGAATTACCTTCCTCTGAAGGTGATGCATGTCCAACTCACTTCCAAGCTCGCACCAACATTGGGCTTTTTTTTAATCCTCTGCCACAAACCAGGCCTTGTTTGCTTACCTTTATTCATTCCTCCTTTGCAAGACATCTGCCACTCCCTTCTACTCAAAGTCAATACAATGCTTTCTCTTCTATTTCCTTATTCAAGGCTCTTGGATACTTAATACTATATTTAATGATTTATTGAAGTTCTGAACAAAAAAGCTAGAGTTAGACTGGGTGAATATGCAGCCTGGATCTTATAACTAGATTCCTGGGATGCTTGGAGGGCCAAGCACTGAATAACAATTGCTAATCTTTTTAGGTTTTGAGTATACACAAGACAGTCCATCATGCTAACTGAGATTCTAAGGACATTTGTTTGTCTCAGCATTAATAGTATCACCCATTTGATAAGGCACACACCTGTGATCAGTGTCCAGGCTGTTATGGCCCCATCATCAGACGATGTGCTGGCCTCCACAGAGGCATGGCTCTCCACAGTCCTGGCAAAAACCAGGACTGCTGACTCACTAGACTGTAGCAGTTACTTCTGAATAACATCCCACTAAAGCCAAAAAAGGAGAGCTTATATGTTCATTCTCTCTACAGCAAGAGCCCTGTGAAAATTAATGAAGACTGAAATGGTCCATAAGAGTATAAGCAAAGTATATTAAAAACAATGGAAAGCAATGCCCTAAACTCTGACATGTCAAGTGAAGAGGTACTTCATAGCTTTCAATCCTTCTCCTAGACACTTGTATTCAGCACTTGGTAAGTGAGTAAATCGTCCTCACTTGAGAGTTCACTTAGTGACCTTCAGGGGGGATCCCTGAGAGCCAAGCCACCCTATGTTTGTCCTATTGTTAACACAAATAAAATGTACAGTAAGAATCATGAAAGAGTGATGTGTTTATGGCACAGATTGTGGTGATAATTTCACTGGTATATACTTATCTTCAAACTTGATCTTGTCATCAAGTTGTGTTTACATATGTACAGCTTCTTGTATGTCAGTTATTCCTCAATAAAATATTTTTTTATAAGATATTATTTGAAAAAAGAAAAAAGGTCTGGGACAGGCTCCAATGTAAGCATCAAGGTGATGCCAACACGATGCATCTGTCTGGCATGCCAGTGCAGCCAGTCTAAAAGGGGATGGGCCACTTTTCCCCTAGCAGAAATATCAGTACTGACATGACTGAACCAGAGAAGAAATCTCCCCAACTCCTAACACAAGGAAAGAAAAGAAGAAGATAGGAGAAGGACAGAGGAAATAAAGGAAGACAAGAGTAAAGACGAGAAAGAGGCAAGAGGAAGAAAAACATGAAAAGAAAATAGATTTTTATTTTTGATTAGGTCAAAATATAATTCTAAACCATCAAAATATGAGAATTCCCCTTCCTTATTTCTCTTTACTCATCCCATTGATCATCTTTCTTCTGTCTTTTTAACAACAAGTTTTTGACATTAATTTCTCTCCTTTGCTTTCTTTTGGGCTAAGTGTATCATGACCTGAATAATTTCCCATTGAAAGGCCTTTTGACTCTTATTTCCAGTCTAACATGCAAGAGCTTGGAAGTTGTCACTCACCTCTTTGCAAAAGAAAAACAGAAAAATCAACAAATCTTTGGTCAGTTGAGGAAACAGGGCAGATTGCTTTCCCCAGATCTGGAGATACAGGTGAATACAGAAAATTGGAGCTTATTAGGGGCAGAAACCACATGTGGAGCCTGTGGGTAGGAGCGCTTAAAGGGTAATTGACTAATTTCTTGAGGCTCAGTATGGAGTAACTTGAGAGATAAACCTCTTGGGGGCCCATGGGGTGGGGACATGTTCTTCAGTGTTATCTCCAGGAGCCCCACCAAGTTATCAGAGCAAGGATCAGAAAAAAAATCCCCTATACTTTAGACAGAGAGAGGGGAAAAGTAACCTTGTTTTTTTTTTGTTTTTTTTTGAGACAGAGTCTCACTCTGTCACCCAGGTTGGAATGCAGTAGCACGATCTCAGCTTACTGCAAGCGCCACCTCCCAGGTTAATGCCACTCTCCTGCCTCAGCCTCCCGAGTAGCTGGGACTACAGGCACCCACCACCACGCCCAGCTAATTTTTTGTATTTTTTAGTAGAGACAGGGTTTCACTGTGTTAGCCAGGATGGTCTCGATCTCCTGACCTCGTGATCCACCCACCTTGTCCTTCCAAAGTGCTGGGATTACAGGCGTGAGCCACTGCACCCGGCCAAAAGTAACCATTTTTAAATACACTCAGATCTTTCTGTTCTTGTTAACTAAGACCCAATCTCAAAAAGACCCGATTTTACCAGAGCCTAACCATCATGAGTTTTACCTAAGCCAAACCAACAATAGAAGTGGGAAATACCCAGCCATTTTGTTTCAACTAAGAGAGGAAGGGAGTGAGCTGGGAAGCACTTGGGAAGGTCACAGCACAGTAGCACAGGCCCACCAAAAGACTGATACTTGATCATAAGTAAACAGGCTCCCTCTACCCCAATACCTTACAACATTCTATATTCTCCTATATCATAACAGATTACTGTTGAAAAGAACTGCAAGGCTCAGACTCTATTCAAGAAGAAGTCTCTAGGGAAATTTGAAGACAACAGTAGAGACAAAAACAAAAGAGAATACTAAAGGAAATTTTAGCCTCTGACACCTATAACTATAACAAACAATAAATAAACAGTCTAACTGCTAGCCATATAAACATAAAATCTCATACTAACAGTTGATTTACCTTAGTTTCTTTTATCCAATGCATCAGGTACAGCTTTCAAAAAAAAAAAATTATAGGGCATGCTAAAAGGAAAAAAAATTAAAAAAGAAAAAAGTTCCAGTTCAATATGGCTGACTAGAAGTAGGTAGTGCATGCCTCTCTCACGGGAGCAAACAAAGTGACAAGTAAATACTAACTCTTCAAGTGGATCTTCTAAGAGATCACACTGGGATTCATCAGGGAAGTAACAGGACCCACAGAGAACAAAGAGGAGTGAAGCCAGGCAGCTGCTCACCCAGGACCAGCAGAGCTGAGGGAGGCTCCCTAATGTGGGAAAACAATGAGTGAATGAGAGACCCCCAACAAGAGATACACACCTTCATCATGGGCCTCCAGACAAACAAAGAGAGCTGCCTGGAGCCTGTGCAGAGGCAGAACTCAATCCCACATAGCACCAACTGTCACCACCCCACCAAGAAGGGAGGCCAGAAACTTTTGCACATCCCAAAAACAGATGCTGCAGCCACAGTACTGAGGAGCTTCTAGACTGTATCATTAAACTCCCCACCTGCACTTCTCCCTGCCAAGTGGGCCTTGCCAGCTTGGGACCCCAGAGCACCTGCCTCACCCCTGCCTGAACACTGTGGCTGCAGCTCTGCATTATTCTGAGATTGTAACTCCCAGAGGTCACAAGCCCTTTGGAATCACTGCCACTGCTGCCTCCTTCCTTGCCATCCCTGGGCCAAGGAGAGAACAGGGAGACAGGGCATTTTCTTAGTGCCTCCAGTGCAGATACTGTAGCTGAGGTGCAGAGGAGCAACAAGCAGACTATGCACCCGATGACTTCCCACCTCCATTGCTCCCTACCAAATGGGACTTGCTGGCTTCAGTGGCAGGCCCCTAATGCAGCCTTCTCACCCCTGTCTGAACACTATGGCTGATACTCAGCATTCTTCTGAGAGCCCAATTCTCAGAAGCCAGTGACAATTCTTCCACAGTTGCTGCTACCACTGCCTCTGCCTCACCACCCCAGGCAGGGAGGGAGTGGGGAAGCCTGGCACCTTTGTGTGCCCCTAACAGTGAAATCCAGCACTACATCTGCAGGAGGAAAGTGGGAGTGGACCACACACCCCACAGCTGCCAGTCTTCACTGTCCAGCTGAGGGGACCAGCCCTCCCCCATTGAAAGGCCCAGAGTACAGCCATCCTGATCCTGCCTAAACATTTCAGGTGCAGCCCACAGCCCTTCTGAAAGCCCAGCCCCAATAGCCCTGTGATCTGCCTTCAGGCACATCTCTCACCACCTGAGCATTTTGCCTACTTTTGCCTGAGAGTTCTGCTAGAGACCCAGAAACTAGCCTACCCCTCCCCATCTGAGCCAGCACCTGAACTCTGGGCTAACCTGACCCTGGTCCAGCCCCTTCCTGACTCATACACACCATCCAATGGGCCATCTAGGGCCCTGGGAAGTGGGGAACTACCTAGCCCATTCCAACACTGCTGGCACCTGGCCACTTCCCTCAGGGCCTGAGGTTGGACTGATCCAACCAATCAACACCACCTGCATGGGCCAAGAGGCAGAAGCCCTCCCTATAAAAGGCAGCAGCATTTCTGCAGCAGGTAAGCCATAAAACTATATCATGCTGAGTGAAGAGGTTCTACCCCAAAACCACTCCCATGGAGAGATTCAAGGACAGGCATTTATTTTCCAAGGTTCTCAGCTATATTGATTTCTAGAGATAGGATACAGTGTGCATCTGAACTGAAAGTCATGAACCCTGAGACAGGGATGTGAAAGAGAAACAGATTGCATTCCTGCCTATCTAGGAGATTGAGCCAGTGAGGCCCCCTCACACCCCTCCCCACAGAGACCTCAGCACATTTCCCCCAGCCATCCTCTTTAGGGCTGGTGACTGCTCTTGTCATTGGGGAATTTGTGGCCAAGCCAGAGAGTCCTCTGCCTCTGCTGAACAGGAAGCTCAGGACACCAGGCACTCCATTGTCTAGCCCATCACCTGAAACAACAGAAAGCACCTCACATTAAGCAAAGATTCCATAATTACCCATCTGCTTGTGGTGCACTTGGCTCTTACCTGCAGTGCCATCTACTGGCCTACGGATTGAACCACATAGCCCAATATAAACCTGCCCCCAGAAGTGCACAGAGTTATAGAAGCAAAGTCAAAAGAACCTACCAAACATACTCTATAGTCACACTCCCTAGGGAGGAGAGGAAAGGGAAAAAAAAAAAAAAGAAAAACAATATATATGCACAAAAATAATTTCAAAAGTTAGAAGTGGCAGTGACTCCAGAGAAGAGGGAACCAGTGTAAGAATCCCGGCACCATGAAAAATCTGAATGTTGTAACATCACCAAAGGTGGTGGACTGCAGATTTCCCAGCAGAAACCCACCAAAAGTGATGTCACTACACTAGCTCTCTAACAATGGACCGTAAATAAAATGGAAACTCAGAAATGACACATAAAAAATTCAAAGTATGGATTGCAAGGAAGCTCAAAGATGCCAAGAAGAGATTGACAGTCACCACAAACAAACTATGAAAGCAATCCAGGAAATGAAGGAAGAGATAAATTTTTTTTAAATCAATCATAACATCTGGAATTTAAAATTCACTTAAGAAATTTCAACATATAATTGAAAGCATTAACAATAAAGTAAACCAGGCAGAGGAAATAATTTCAGAGCTTGAAAAACAGTCTTTTGAATTAACACAATCAGACAGAAATAAGGGGAAAATAATTTTAAAGACTGTACAAAGCCTTTAGGAAATATGGGATTATGTAAAGTGACCAAACCTATGACTTATTGGCATTCCTGAGAGAGAAGAAAACATAAGCAACTTGGAAAACATATTTAAGAGAATAATTCAAGAAAATATTCTTAATATTGTTAGAGAGGTAGACATCCAGATAAAGGAACCCATAGAACACCTGTGACACACCATACAAAATGACAATTACCAAGGCGTACAGTCATCAGTCTATCCAAGGTCAACAATAAAGAAAAAGATCTTAAAGGCAACTGGAGAAAAGGGTCAAATCACCTACAAAGTAATACTGATCAGACAAACAGTAGAGTTTTCAACAGAAACCCTACATCCAGATAATATTGGTGGCCTATTTCTAGCCTCCTTAAAGAAAAAAAAAAGTGCCACCCAATAATTTTGCATCCTACCAAACTAAGCCTCATAAATAAAGGAGAAATAAGGTCTTTCCCAGAAAAGTAATTGCTAGAGAATTTGTTACCACTAGACCAGTCCTACAAGAAATGCTCAAAGGAGTTCTAAATATGGTAATGAAAGAATAATACCAAAAAAAAAGGACACATAAATACAAAGCTCACAGATCCCATAAAGCAAATTCACAATCAAAACTCCAAAACAACTAGCCAACAACACTACATTAGGAAGAAAACCTCACATATCAGTATTAACTCTGAATGTAAATGGTCTAAGTGCCCCACTTGAAGAACACAAAATGGCATATTGGATTTCTTAAAAAACTCAGCCACCTGTTGTCTGCAAGAGGCCCACCTACTGGCTAAAGACACATTCAGACTAAAAGTAAAAGGGTGGAAAAAGATATATGATGCAATTGGAAATACACATGAGCAGGAGTAGCCATTCTTAGATAGACTGTACACCAACAACAGTACAAAAAGACAAAGGAAAGCATTATATAAAAATAAAGGTTCAATAAAAGAAAAAATATTTAACTATCATAAATATATATGCATCCAACACTGTAGCACCAAGATGCATAGAACAAATACAACTAAGCCAAAGAATATAGACTGACAGCAATACAATAATAATAATACAATACAATACAATAATATAATATAATAATAATAATGAGGACTTCAACACCCCACTGCCGTCACTAGACTAATCATCAAAGCAGAAAAGCAACAAAGAAACTCTCGACGTAAACTGGACTACAGACCAAATGGACCTAATAGACATCTGTAAAACAATCTACCCAACAACCACAGAATATATATTCTTCTCATCTGTGCATGAAGCATTCCCCAAAATTTAGCATAGGCTTGACCATAAGACAAGTCTCAATAAATTTTTTAAAAAGTTAAAATTTCATCAAGTATCTTCTCAGACCACAATGGAATAAAATTAGAAATCAATACCAAGAGGAACCCTCAAAACTACACAAGTACATGGGAATGAAACAACTTGCTCCTGAATGACTTTTGGGTAAACAATGAAATTAAGGCAGAAATCAAAAAATTCTTTGAAATGAGTGAAAATAGAGATGCAACATGCTAAAACCTCTGGTATTCAGCAAAAAAAAATGCTAAGAGGAAAGTTTATGGCATTAAATGCCTACACCAAAAAGACAGAAAAATCTCAAATTAACAATCACACCTAAAGAAGTAGAAAAACAAGAACAAAACCCAAAAGTAGCAGAAGAAAATAAATAACAAAGATCAGAGCAAAGCTAAATGAAATTGAAACAAAAAAATGATATAAAGAATTAACAAAATGAAATATTGGTTCTTCCAAAGAATAGGCAAAATTGACAGACCACTAGCTAGACTAATCCCTCTCAAAAAAAAAAAAAAAAGGAACAATTTAAATAAGTACAATCAGGAATGATAAAGATGACATCACAACTGACACCAGAAAAACACAGATCATCAGAGACTATTATGAACACCTCTATACTCAAAAACTAGAAAATCTAGAAGAAGTGAAAAAAAATCCTTGAAACGTGTAACTTCCCAAGATGGAACCAGGAAAAAACAAAAGTCCTGAACAGACCAATAATAAATAATGAAATTAAATCATTAATTTTTTTAAATCCCCCTTAAAAATCCCAGGACCAGATGGATTCACAGCCAAAATTTTACCAGATATACAAAGAACAGCTGGCACCAATCTTACTGAAAGTATTCCAACAAATCAAACAGGATGGATTCCTCCCTAAATCTTTCTACCCAGTGACACCCTGATACCAAAATCTGGCAAGAACACAACAAAAAAAGAAAACAACAAGCCAGTATGCCTAATGAACACAGATGCAAAAATCCTCAGCAAAATACTAGCAAACTGAATCCAACAGCATATCAAAAAAATAATTCTCCATAATCAAGTGTGCTTAATTCCAGGGATACAAGGATGGTTCTGCATGTGCAAATTAACGATCTGCTACGCAGACAGAACTAAGAACAAAAATCACATGATCATCTCAATAGATGAAAAAAAAACCATTCAACAAAATCCAACATCCCTTCATCATAAAAACCCTCAACAAACTAGGCATCACAGGAACATACCTCAAATAATAAGACCCATATATGACAAATCCACAACCAACATCAGGCTGAATGAAAAAAAAAAGTGAAAACATTTCCCCTAAGAACAGGAACAAGAGAAATGTCCACTCTCACTACTTCAATACTCATAGTACTGGAAGTCCTAGCCAGAGAAATGAGACAAGAGAAAGAAATAAATCATAGATGACACAAACAAATGGGAAAACATCTCATTGTCATAGATTGGAAGAATCAATATTGTTAAAATGGTCATACTGCCCAAAGTGATCTACAGATTAAATGCTATTCCTATCAAATTACCAGTCTTTTCATACAGAATTAGAAAAAAATCCTAAAGTTGTTATGGAACCAATAAAAAGCCCAAATATCCAAAGCACTTAAAGGCATAAAGAACAAATCTGGAGGCATCACATTGCCTGACTTCAAATTATAACACAAGACTATAGTAACTAAAACAGCAAGTTACTGGTGCAAAAATATACACATAGATCAATGGAACAAAATAAAGACCCCAGTAATAAAGCTGCATACTTACAATCAATTGATCTTCTAATAAAATGGACAAAAATAAACAATGGGGAAACGACACTGTATTCAATAAATTGGTGTGGGATAACTGACTAGCTATATGCAGAAAAATGAAACTGGACCCCTATCTCTCATCATATATGAGAATTAACTCAGGATGGATTAAAGACCTAAATGTAAGACCTGCAACTATAAAAATTCTAGAACAAAACCTAGGAAAAACTCTTCCAGATATCAATCTAGGCAAAGAATTTATGATGAAGACCCCAAAAACAAATACAACAAAACCAAAAATAGGTAAACAAGACTAATTAAACTAAAACGCTTCTGCACAGCAAAAGACATAAACAACAGAATAAACAAATGACCTACGGAATGGGAGACAATATTTACAAAGTATCCCTCTGGCAAAGGAGTAACATCCAGAATCTATAAGAACTCAAACAACTCAACAAGAAAAAACAAATGACCACATGAGTTTGGAGGAGGAGCCAAGATGGCCGAATAGGAACAGCTCCTGTCTACAGCTCCCAGCATGAGCGACGCAGAAGACGGGTGATTTCTGCATTTCCGTCTGAGGTACCGGGTTCATCTCACTAGGGAGTGCCAGACAGTGGGCGCAGGTCAGTGGGTGCATACACCGTGCGTGAGCCGAAGCAGGGCGAGGCATTGCCTCACTCGGGAAGCGCAAGGGGTCAGGGAGTTCCCTTTCCTAGTCAAAGAAAGGGGTGACAGACGGCACCTGGAAAATCGGGTCACTCCCATCTGAACACTGCGCTTTTCTGACGGGCTTAAAAAACAGCGCACCAGGAGATTATACCCTGCACCTGGCTCAGAGGGTCCTACGCCCACGGAGTCTCACTGATTGCTAGCACAGCAGTCTGAGATCAAATTGCAAGGTGGCAGCGAGGCTAGGGGAGGGGTGCCCACCATTGCCCAGGCTTGCTTAGGTAAACAAAACAGCAGGGAAGCTCGAACGGGGTGGAGCCCACCACAGCTCAAGGAGGCCTGCCTGCCTCTGTAGGCTCCACCTCTGGGGGCAGGGCACAGAAAAACAAAAAGACACCAGTAACCTCTGCAGACTTAAATGTCCCTGTCTGACAGCTTTGAAGAGAGCAGTGGTTCTCCCAGCACGCAGCTGGAGATCTGAGAACGGGCAGACTGCCTCCTCAAGTGATTCCCTGACCGCTGACCCCTGAGCAGCCTAACGGGGAGGCACCCCCCAGCAGGGGCACACTGACACCTCACACGGCCAGGTACTCCAACAGACCTGCCGCTGAGGGTGCTGTCTGTTAGAAGGAAAACTAACAAACAGAAAGGACATCCACACCAAAAACCCATCTGTACATCACCATCATCAAAGACCAAAAGTAGACAAAACCACAAAGATGGGGAAAAAACAGAGCAGAAAAACTGGAAACGCTAAAAAGCAGAGTGCCTCTCCTCCTCCAAAGGAACGCAGTTCCTCACCAGCAACGGAACAAAGCTGGATGGAGAATGACTTTGACGAGCTGAGAGAAGAAGGCTTCGGACGATCAAATTACTCTGAGCTACGGGAGGACATTCAAACCAAAGGCAAAGAAGTTGAAACTTGGAAAAAAATTTAGACGAATGTATAACTAGAATAACCAATACAGAGAAGTGCTTAAAGGAGCTGATGGAGCTGAAAACCAAGGCTCGAGAACTACGTGAAGAATGCAGAAGCCTCAGGAGCCGATGCAATCAACTGGAAGAAAGGGTATCAGCAATGGAAGATGAAATGAATGAAATGAAGCAAGAAGGGAAGTTTAGAGAAAAAAGAATAAAAAGAAATGAGCAAAGCCTCCAAGAAATATGGGACTATGTGAAAAGACCAAATCTACGTCTGACTGGTGTACCTGAAAGTGATGGGGAGAATGGAACCAAGTTGGAAAACACTCTGCAGGATATTATCCAGGAGAACTTCCCCAATCTAGCAAGGCAGGCCAACGTTCAGATTCAGGAAATACAGAGAACGCCACAAAGATACTCCTCGAGAAGAGCAACTCCAACACACATAATTGTCAGATTCACCAAAGTTGAAATGAAGGAAAAAATGTTAAGTGAAGCCAGAGAGAAAGGTAGGGTTACCCTCAAAGGGAAGCCCATCAGACTAACAGCGGATCTCTCAGCAGAAACCCTACAAGCCAGAAGAGAGTGGGGGCCAATATTCAACATTCTTAAAGAAAAGAATTTTCAAGCCAGAATTTCATATCCAGCCAAACTAAGCTTCATAAGTGAAGGAGAAATAAAAATTGCTTTACAGACAAGCAAATGCTGAGAGATTTTGTCACCACCAGGCCTGCCCTAAAAGAGCTCCTGAAGGAAGCACTAAACATGGAAAGGAACAACCGGTACCAGCCACTGCAAAATCATGCCAAAATGTAAAGACCATTGAGACTAGGAAGAAACTGCATCAACTAACCAGCAAAAGAACCAGCTAACATCATAATGACAGGATCAAATTCACACATAACAATATTAACTTTATGTAAATGGACTAAATGCTCCAATTAAAAGACACAGACTGGCAAATTGGATAAAGAGTCAAGACCAATCAGTGTGCTGTATTCAGGAAACCCATCTCACGTACAGAGACACACATAGGCTCAAAATAAAAGGATGGAGGAAGATCTACCAAGCAAATGGAAAACAAAAAAAGGCAGGGGTTGCAATCCTAGTCTCTGATAAAACAGACTTTAAACCAACAAAGATCAAAAGAGACAAAGAAGGTCATTACATAATGGTAAAGGGATCAATTCAACAAGAAGAGCTAACTATCCTAAATATATATGCACCCAATACAGGAGCATCCAGATTCATAAAGCAAGTCCTGAGTGACCTACAAAGAGACTTAGACTCCCACACATTAGTAATGGGAGACTTTAACACCCCACTGTCAACATTAGACAGATCAAAGAGACAGAAAGTCAACAAGGATATCCAGGAATTAAACTCAGCTCTGCACCAAGCGGACGTAATAGACATCTACAGAACTCTCCACCCCAAATCAACAGAATATACATTTTTTTCCAGCACCACACCACACCTATTCCAAAATTGACCACATACTTGGAAGTAAAGCTCTCCTCAGCAAATGTAAAAGAAGAGAAATTATAACAAACTATCTCTCAGACCACAGTACAAACAAACTAGAACTCAGCATTAAGAATCTCACTCAAAACCGCTCAACTACATGGAAACTGAACAACCTGCTCCTGAATGACTACGGGGTACATAATGAAATGAAGGCAGAAATAAAGATGTTCTTTGAGACACAACATAACAGAATCTCTGGGACGCATTCAAAGCAGTGTGTAGAGGGAAATTTGTAGCACTAAATGCCCACAAGAGAAAGCAGGAAAGATCCAAAACTGAAACCCTAACATCACAATTAAAAGAACTAGAAAAGCAAGAGCAAACACATTCAACAGCTAGCAGAAGGCAAGAAATAACTAAAATCAGAGCAGAACTGAAGGAAATAGAGACACAAAAAACCCTTCAAAAAATTAATGAATCCAGGAGCTGGTTTTTTGAAAGGATCAACAAAATTGATAAACCGCTAG
Organism: Homo sapiens; assembly: GCF_000001405.40. Lineage (NCBI taxonomy): Eukaryota > Metazoa > Chordata > Mammalia > Primates > Hominidae > Homo > Homo sapiens. Next base: position 84,776,159 of record NC_000010.11, on the reverse strand, counting down.
CAAGACTAATAAAGAAAAAAAGGGAGAAGAATCAAATAGATGCAATCAAAAATGATAAAAGGGATATCACCACTGATCCCACAGAAATACAAACTACTATCAGAGAATACTATGAACAACTCTACGCAAATAAACTAGAAAATCTAGAAGAAATGGATAAATTCCTTGACAAATACACTCTCCCAAGACTAAACCAGGAAGAAGCTGAATCTCTGAATAGATCAATAACAGGAGCTGAAATTGTGGCAATAATCAATAGCTTACCAACCAAAAAGAGTCCAGGACCAGATGGATTCACAGCCAAATTCTACCAGAGGTACAAGAAGGAACTGGTACCATTCCTTCTGAAACTATTCCAATCAATAGAAAAAGAGGGAATCCGTAGAGTGATCCCAGGCTGCCCAGCAAAAAAAGTCACAGCACGGAGGTGCCGTTGCCCCAGAAGCATTGCAATCAATAGTCAGCTTGGGATTCTTTTCTTTCACTTCCTCACACTATGTACTTTCTCACACGGATAATAAAGTTAGAGCACTCTCAAAAAAAAAAAAAAGAAAAAGAAAAAGAGCGAATCCTTCCTAACTCATTTTATGAGGCCAGCATCATCCTGATACCAAAGCCAGGCAGAGACACAACGAAAAAAGAGAATTTTAGACCAATATCTTTGATGAACATTGATGCAAAAATCCTCAATAAAATACTGGCAAAACGAATCCAGCAGCACATCAAAAAGCTTATCCACCATGATCAAGTGGGCTTCATCCCTGGGATGCAAGGCTGGTTCAATATACGCAAATCAATAAATGTAATCCAGCATATAAACAGAACCAAAGACAAAAACCACATGATTATCTCAACAGATGCAGAAAAGGCCTTTGACAAAATTCAACAACCCTTCATGCTAAAAACTCTCAATAAATTAGGTATTGATGGGATGTATCTCAAAATAATAAGAGCTATCTATGACAAACCCACAGCCAATATCATACTGAATGGGCAAAAACTGGAAGCATTCCCTTTGAAAACTGGCACAAGACAGGGATGCCCTCTCTCACCACTCCTATTCAACATAGTGTTGGAAGTTCTGGCCAGGGCAATTAGGCAGGAGAAGGAAATAAAGGGTATTCAATTAGGAAAAGAGGAAGTCAAATTGTCCCTGTTTGCAGATGACATGATTGTATATCTAGAAAACCCCATTGTCTCAGCCCAAAATCTCCTTAAGCTGATAAGCAACTTCAGCAAAGTCTCAGGATACAAAATCAATGTACAAAAATCACAAGCATTCTTATACACCAACAACAGACAAACAGAGAGCCACATCATGAGTGAATTCCCATTCACAATTGCTTCAAAGAGAATAAAATACCTAGGAATCCAACTTACAAGGGATGTGAAGGACCTCTTCAAGGAGAACTACAAACCACTGCTCAAGGAAATAAAAGAGGATACAAACAAATGGAAGAACATTCCATGCTCATGTGCAGGAAGAATCAATATCGTGAAAATGGCCATACTGCCCAAGGTAATTTGCAGATTCAATGCCATCCCCATCAAGCTACCAATGACTTTCTTCACAGAATTGGAAAAAACTACTTTAAAGTTCATATGGAACCAAAAAAGAGCCCGCATCGCCAAGTCAATCCTAAGCCAAAAGAACAAAGCTGGAGGCATCACACTACCTGACTTCAAACTATACTACAAGGCTACAGTAACCAAAACAGCATGGTACTGGTATCAAAACAGAGATATAGATCAATGGAACAGAACAGAGCCCTCAGAAATAATGCCGCATATCTACAACTATCTGATCTTTGACAAACCTGACAAAAACAAGCAATGGGGAAAGGATTCCCTATATAATAAATGGTGCTGGGAAAACTGGCTAGCCATAGGTAGAAAGCTGAAACTGGTTCCCTTCCTTACACCTTATACAAAAATCAATTCAAGATGGATTAAAGACTTAAATGTTAGACCTAAAACCATGAAAACCCTAGAAGAAAACCTAGGCATTACCATTCAGGACATAGGCATGGGCAAGGACTTTATGTCTAAAACACCAAAAGCAATGGCAACAAAAGACAAAATTGACAAATGGGATCTAATTAAACTAAAGAGCTTCTGCACAGCAAAAGAAACTACCATCAGAGTGAACAGGCAACCTACAAAATGGGAGAAAATTTTTGCAACCTACTCATCTGACAAAGAGCTAATATCCAGAATCTACAATGAACTCAAACAAATTTACAAGAAAAAAACAAACAAACCCATCAAAAAGTGGGTGAAGGACATGAACAGACACTTCTCAAAAGAAGACATTTATGCAGCCAAAAAACACATGAGAAAATGCTCACCATCACTGGCCATCAGAGAAATGCAAATCAAACCACAATGAGATACCATCTCACACCAGTTAGAATGGCAATCATTAAAAAGTCAGGAAACAACAGGTGCTAGAGAGGATGTGGAGAAATAGGAACACTTTTACACTGTTGGTGGGACTGTAAACTAGTTCAACCATTGTGGAAGTCAGTGTGGCGATTCCTCAGGGATCTAGAACTAGAAATACCATTTGACCCAGACATCCCATTACTGGGTATATACCCAAAGGACTATAAATCATGCTGCTATAAAGACACGTGCACACGTATGTTTATTGCGGCATTATTCACAATAGCAAAGACTTGGAACCAACCCAAATGTCCAACAATGATAGACTGGATTAAGAAAATGTGGCACATATACACCATGGAATACTATGCAGCCATAAAAAATGATGAGTTCATGTCCTTTGTAGGGACATGGATGAAATTGGAAATCATCATTCTCAGTAAACTATCGCAAGAACAAAAAACCAAACACCGCATATTCTCACTCATAGGTGGGAATTGAACAGTGAGAACACATGCACACAGGAAGGGGAACATCACACTCTGGGGCCTGTTGTGGGGTGGGGGGAGGGGGGAGGGATAGCATTGGGAGATATACCTAATGCTAGATGACGAGTTAGTGTGTGCAGCGCACCAGCATGGCACATGTATACATATGTAACTAACCTGCACATTGTGCACATGTACCCTAAAACTTAAAGTATAATAAAAAAAAGACCACATGAAAAACCAGACAAATGATATGAATAGACATTTCTCAAAAGAAGAAATACAAAAGACTAACAAACATGTGAAAAAATACTCAACATCACTAATAATCAGAGAAATAAAACTTATAACCACACTGAGATATCATACAAGTCAGAATGGCTTTTACTAAAAGGTCAAAAAACATCAGATGTTGATATGGATGCAGTGAAAAAGGTAAGTTCATACACTTTTGGTAGGAATGTAAATTAGTTCATTCTCTATAGAAAATAGTATGGTGATATCTCAAAGAACTAGAAATAGGGCTGCCATTTGACCCAGTAATCCCACGACTGGTATCTACTCAAAGGAAAAGAAATTATTATATTAAAAAACACCCGCACTCGTATGTTTATTGCAGCTCTGTTTACAACAGCAAAGTCATGGAACCAACTTAAGTGTCCCCCCAACTGTTGACTGAATAAAGAAAATATATATAAATATATATATGTTATACATAAATGTTATATATAGGTTATATATAAATGTTATATATATATATATTATATATATAAACACTATTTCTGTCTATTCTTTTAGAATGATGGAATATACAAATCAGGAATAATTCAGACAAAATTCAGGGCCTCACATCAATAATTGGATCCTGGTGGCAGGGGACAAGGTAGTGTTGGGGCATAAGGAAACATCATAGAAGGACACTGGCCCAATCCCACCCACTGCACTTGAAGCTATCCCCCAAGCATCTCAGATCACATCCAGTCCAGCCCCAAGCTCATTGGTAGAGAATAAATATCTGCAGATTTAGCCACCTTCACACTTTCTGCACCCAAACTTCCTGAATTAAATAGAAGCAATCAGAAGTCATCTTGAATAAATGCCAACATCTCTATGCCCTACCAGAATCAGGGCCTAAGTACTTAGCCTTCCCTGCTGATACCGTGAACTGCTCTAAGTGCTAGATAGCGGCAATCCCTTTACTTATGTACCAGATCACTGCCCTTCTCATCTGTTCACTAATGGAGCTCAGCAATTCTCCTTCTCTTCTGTGTCATCACTTTCTCCCTCTCTAGTGGATCACTCACAAACCTGATATCATTTCTTAAATATTAAAAAATAAATAACAAATAAAATAAAATAGTTCTCTTCACACTGCTTCCCCCTCCGACTACTACTCTATTTCTCTGCTCACCCTTTAATATACAGTTAAAAAAATAATTTTATTTGCTTGCTGTTTCAAATTTCTCTCCTTTGATTTTCTTTTGGACCCTCTCCAATCAGTTCTACCATCCCCACCACTCTTGTCAAACTCACTGGTGACCTCTAGGTTGCTAAAACCAATCGCCAATTCTCAGCATTTTACTTGACCTTTAAAAAAACATCTACACACATTCCTTTAGTGTTCTCATTCCATGTCATGGGTTTAGATACTATTATTATGCTGCTAACACTCATATTTAGAGCTCCAGCCTTGATCTCTTCTATGACTTCAAGACTTTTATATTTGATTGCCACAAGACCTCTCTACTTGCATGCCCAACAGGCAGCTCAAATGCAGCAGGTAAAAAAGCTGAAGTCCTGACCTTCCCTACCACCCACAACTTTCCAGTCTTCTCTAGGTCAATGAATGGCAGTTCCACCCTTCCAGTTGTTCAGACCCAAAAGTTTAGCCTCATCTTTAATTTCTCTGCCTCTCTCACTTCTCATCTCAATCTGTCAGCAAATGCTCATAGATCTCCTCAAAAATATACCCAGAATATTATCCCTTTGCCCATCTCCATTGTTACCACCCTAGTCCAAAGCAACTATCATTTCTCACCTGGAACTTTCCATGGCCCCTTAATTGATCTTCTTACTTGCACTCCTGATGGCTTACAATCTAATTGCAATTATTTTATCCAGAATAAACCTGTTAAAAGAAAAGTCAGCTTAAGCCACTCCATCTGAGTTAGAGAAGCCATGCATGTTTTACAATGACTTGCAAGGCACAAGGCTCAGCACATGCTGCTCCCACACTTCACTTTCTGTCCTCATCTCTTACTACTCCCACCTCACTCCACCCAACCACAGTGTCCCCTTGCTGGTCTGCAGAGGCACACAGCATGCTTCAGAGTCACAGCTTTTGCAATCTCTATTCTCTCTGCCTGGACCATCTATTCTTAAATATCACTTACTCCCTTGCATTGTGAAATCCTTGCTCAAATCCTATTTCCTAGAACAGCTTTTCCTTGCCACCCTATTGAAAACTGACTCCTTGCACACACCATTCAGTATCCATGTTTCCAGCTTCATTTTTCTCCCTAGCTCTTATCTACCCAATCTGTGTTTTTCTTCTTTATATATTTTTTTACAATCTGTCTCTATCCACTACAATGTAAGCTCCATGAGGGTAGAGATTTCTGTTTTTATCACTACGTTGCCCTCAACTCCTGGAATAATGCATGACACAAGCATAAGAATAAGAAATTCATTTAAAAATATTAAGTATTGGATGAGTTAATGCCTCAATCCTTTGCTACTTACTTCTGCATTCCTAGCCTTTTATTCCAACATTTTTCCTAAAAATCTCAACATTTTCCTAGAGATTTCTGGCATCTTTTGAAATACAAAATAATTAGAATCTGATAATTGCTTAGAATCCATTTATTGATCCCTGCTCTTTGCAGGAAACTGATCACTGGTGTCACTTACAATTTTAAATGGAAATTATTTTTCTTCCATGAAGATGGTGCTATTGATGTGGCACCCAGGGGGATGCAGAACAGCCTGCTTACCTCTGCAGTTCTAGAAGCATTGCTGCATTCCAGTGCCTTCAGATACTCCCTGAAATTATTTACATTGGTTCTCAGTCACCTTTGGTACAACTCTGAAATCTTTTCCAAATATAGCAAACACACATATACACACAGAGAGGAAATTACAGAATCAAAATGACACTGTACTTCTCAGCAAATTCCATCAGAATCTGGTAGCAGGTGTTCCCAATAGAGCCTGTGGCTTTGTATTCAGTTTTAAGTTCTACTATTCCTTCATTCACAGCCCACGAAAGAGTATATAAAATTTCACAATAATTGCCCATAAAAACCTTCCCCACCCAAATTAATATCAAGTAAGGTGATCGCCCCACTTAAGAATGTAATTATAAAATTAAGATTTTATTAATATGGCCTAATTTCCATTCCCCAATTGTCCCATATCATTTTATTATATGGCATTATGCTTCTTTCTTTTCCTTTTTGTTGGCAAAGGAAATGTCAAGTTAAAATATACCCCTTTACGGGAATGCAAAACCCAGCTCTCGCCTCCCACGGTGCCCTTAGCTGTAACCTGTCATTGAGCATCCCTCCCCTTGTGGCATCTTATGCTGCTGGATTTACCAGAGACTTGCTCTGCCCATGGAAGAAAAAAAAACAGCCTCCAGAGGACAAACTCTAACACATGCCCCTCACTTCAGTGCAAAGACATTTCTAGACTGTGTTCTGCTGTGTAGACACAGAATTTCCCCCAGAGAAGTCCATCCTGCCACCTTTCTCCATTTGTCCAGGTGTCACTGTCACCATCTAGTCTGACTTCACCCAAACCAAAGCTAGGAAATCTGCTGCAGGCTGGAAATCCTTCAACCCCCTTCCAGAAATGCAGTGGGAATATAATTATCCTGAATGTGAGACATAAACACATTTTAATTAAATGTGAACTCGTTTCTTCATAAGTTTTAAACAAAGTTCCAGTCATCCCAATTTAAATTTGAGAACAGATGTAATTTGGTCACTGTATTTGCTATAATAAAAGGAAATGGAAATTATGAGAGATGAAATAGTCCAGGCACAGAAAGACAAACATCACGTCATCTCACTTACATGTGAAATCTAAAAAAGCCAACCTCATAGAAGCAGAGAGTAGAGCAGTGGTCACCAGGGACTGGGGTGGGAGGAGGAACAGAGTAAAGGAAGATGTTGCTCAAAGGGCACAAAGTTTCAATTAGTCTGGAGGAATAAGTTTTAGTGAGCTATTGGTCTGCACAGGGACTACAGTTAATAATAATGTACTATATATTTCAAAATTGCTAAAAGAAAACATTTTTGACATTCTCACCACCAACAATAAGTTGGTGGAGAGTGGATATGTTAATTAGTTTGATTAAATCTTTCTACAGTGGATACATAGACCAAAACATTACCCTATACCCTATAAATATAGACAATTATTATTTGTCAATTAAAACCAATCATCAATCAAGTCTATTAAAAGTGCATTCAAAAAAAAAGGTTTTGAAAAAAATCTATCTTGACACATCACAGAAGGGATGGTTGACCAGAAGCCAACTGCCTTGTTCTCCTGACTGCTACGCTGCCCACCCACCTGCCCCCTGTATGGAGGAAAGAGGCCACTACCACAAGGTGCTCAACCACCAGGTACTCTCAATGGCCACAGCTCCTCCAGCTTAGGGAACAGCCTCTGTGACCACAGGAACTCATCCTCCCATCATCACTAAATTCTCAGGCTTTGGCCTTTGGCTGAACTTTCCTTTCCTTGATTCAGTGAAATATCTCATTTGTCTACTGTGCACACCTGCAGCTCTCTCAGTAGTGGCAACCTTTCTTTTCACAACCTCGTATGCTCTGAATGGAGGTGGGGTCAGGATCCTTCGTTCTCGCCATTGAAACACCCTCTTTCCTCTCTCATAAACCTCCATTCTTTTGAAGTTCAAGTCACTGAACTTTACCCTCATTGCCTTTTATGGTTATGGTCATCTGCTGACCTCATGGTCACTCTTCCACAGGGCCTGGATCACTGTTTTCCTTTTCCTCACCAATTACATTATCATTCTTGTAATACGCATAGCTAATCCAATCAACAACCTAATCTTCCCTTCCAAAGCATTTCAATTACACACCCTTCAGACCTTATTGCCACCAGTAACTACCCCACCTTCCAACAATCTCTCTTTCATGCACCCTTCTGTATCTTGCCTCCCTCTCCTGTCTTTCCGGCTCACTGATTTGGTATTGCCACTACTGACATTCTCTAATCTCGTTGAAACCTGGAATCCTTGTCAATCATTGTCCTTATGTGTTCATTTTCCTCCTTGCCCTACTTGAAGCCTCTGGCACATTTATCGAAATCTTTTGTAAGCCCTCCGAATCTCCTGGTGATACGGGAGTGCTGGGAAGGGAAGAGTATAGTCCTTTTAAATGATAGGGAAGGCAGAAGGGAAGTGCTGGGTAGAGAAAGGTGGGTTGCTGGGTAGAGAAAGGTGGGTTCCTGACTAGAGCTCCACCTCCACGGACCTAGGTGAGGACAGGCACTTATGCCTTTGCACCCAAATGTTTCATTTTCCAAGACCACCCTGGCCTGCCACGCCCCCATCCTGGGCCTATGAAAACCTGAGACCCTAGCAAGGCAGAGACAGAAGCAGCGGGACATCGTGAGAAACACATCAGCGGAAGACGACACAAGTGGCTGGTCGTGAAGAGCACACCAGCGGAAGAGCACTCCTACAGGCACCGGCATGTCGGCAGGCCATCGACTGGTGGAATGATGCAGAGTTTGACCCTAACCACAGTTTGACCGGAGCCATCAGAGAAGAGCGGGGTCACTGAGCGGCCTGACTCCAAGGGAAAACCATCTCCTTCTGGCTTCCGCATCTGCTGAGAGCTACTTCTATTGAATAAAACTTTGAGCTCATTCTCCAAGCCAAGAAGATTCGATTCTTCCGGTACACCAAGGCAAGAAATCCCGGGATACAGAAATCCCTCTGTCCTTGTGACAAGGAAGGGGGTCTAATTAAGCTGGTTAACACAAGCCGCCAACAGACGCTAAACCCAAAAAAAGCACCCTGTAATGCACGCCCAGTGGGGCTTCAGCTGTAAACATTCACCCCTAGACACTGCCATGGGGTAGGAGCCCGGCAGCCTGCCCCTCTGTACGCTCCCCTAGAGGTTTGAGCAGCGGGGCACTGAAGAAGCGAGCCACATCCCCATCGCACACCCTGTGAGGAGGACAAGGGAACCTCCCCGTTTCACTGGCACCTCTCTCAATCCATATACTCAGTTGGAGAAAAGACTATTGCTATCCACGTATCTTCCGCCTTCACATGCACACCCGCGCAGCTAAACCAGGAGTCAGCAAGCTATAACCTTTGACCAAATATGGAACACTGCCTGCTTTTATAAAAAGTTTTTATTGGAATACAGACACATTTATTAATTTCTGTGTTGTCTATGGCTACTTTCATGCTACAACGGCAGAATTGAGTAGTGAGACGAAAACTATATGGTTCACAAAGCCTAAAATACTATCTATCACTTTACAGAAGAAATTTGCCAAATCTTGAGCTAAATCATTCAAAAAAAAAAAAAAAAGGTCTGCAACCATGCTACTGGCCTCACTTTTGGTTTATGTCCTCAAGACTCAAGTTAACACCCAACTTCAACAGTCATGACTATTTCATTTCCTAGTAACATATGTTCCCACTCTCACCTAATGACCTAGCCTCGAAATAGAGAAAGAAAAAGAAAATATATATAATCAAATAAAAATAATTTCATCTTTGCATCCTCGAATCCACCTCCTCACCTACATGCCTACGTCCTTTCACTCTCTCTCTTTCTTTCTCTGTCTTCTTCCACTTTTCAGATCATGCATTAATATTGCCCATCTTTTAAAAAAAACTCCATTTGACCATGCAACCTTTTCCAGCTCTTTCCCGCTTCTCCGTTTATCTTCATAAGAAATTTCCACACTCACTGAATCCACTTTCCGTCTTCTATTATCTCTCCACCACTCCACTGAGATGGTTTCTATCAGGGTCACCTAAACCATTTATACCACTAAACCCAAGAGTTTATGCTGAGTTCTCGTTTTATAAGGCTTCTCTAGCAGCATTGGATGAAGCTGACGATAAAGTCCTTCAAACACTTTCTTCTCCTGAATCCTAGGACTCCACACTCACCTGGATTTCCTCCTACCTCAATTACAGCTCCATCTCAGTTTTTCTGCAGTTCCATCCACCGCTACATCTCTAAATGTTAACAATCCCCAGAGGTTTGTCCTTGGCCTTTTCATTTTCCCTTTTCTCCTTCTCTCTTCTCTCCCTAGGTGATCTCATCCAGTCTCATTGGTCTAAGTCCCATCTCTAGGCTGCTGACTCCCAAGTCTATTACTCCAGCCTCAATTTTCACCTTTAGCCAGATATCCAAATGTCAAATCAACATTTTCACTTAGATGTGTAATGATCTCTCTGAACTAGCCTAGTCAAACATTAACTTCCACACCCACCCTCCTCATTCCAGTCTTTCCAGAGAATGTTATGACCATAAACTCAGTTCTGTGAGCCCAAAAGCTAATAGGTATCCTTGATCTTTCTTTCCCTCACAATTCATATCCATACCATGTGGGAAATCCTACTGGTTTAACTTTACAGCATAGCAGAAGTCATCGCTATTCACCATCTCCATTGCTACTTCCTAGAATCAGCCACCAGCATCTTTTATCTGGACTAAGGCAGCAACCTCCTGATTCCAAACTTGTTTCTTTACAGTCCATTCTTCACACACATCCAGAATGACATTTCCAAATTCTAAGATAGCACCACCCTCATACTGAAACCCTCCAGTAGCTCCTAATTGTTATTAGAGTGAAACCAATCTCTTTACACAACCAAAAGTTACTGTGGTACTGCAACCCTGTCTACCTCTTCAAAATCCTCCCCCTCCCTTCACTCCCTTGTTCATTGTCCACAGCCAGTGGCCTTATTTCTATCCTTCCAAGCTGTCACATTCATCTCATCAAAATCTTCTCCATGGAATGCTTCTCGGTCAGGTCTTCCAATGGCTATTTCTTTCTCAGATGCCACTCTTCAGAGAGGCGCTCCTGATGGCCTGAGTTTGCTTCTATAATGCCACTAATTTTTGTTTTCTTCATAGCATTTACCAGTTTCTTAAATTATTTAATTTATATGCATACAAATGTTAGCATTTATTTGCATATTTATTTTCTCACCAAATTAGTCTATAGCTTCTTAAGGGTAGAGACTTGGTTATTCTTCCACTATCTGTCCCACATCTAAACTAGCATCTGAAACAGAGAAAGCTCTCAATAAATACTTGTTGTCTGACTGCCTGACAAGTATAATTAAATAAAAGGTAAAGTTTGTAATTTAGCACCTGATCCTAAGGAAGCTACTACTTATACTACTTTATGTTGAAATGATGCTTGAATTTTCTAATTTTTTTGGCCCATGCATAGAGATTTTGCAGCTTTGAAAAAGCACAGAATCATACTCTCTCAGGTTGTTAAGACCTAAGAGGAAAATCACATATTTAAAGTGAAATTTACTCAGCATACTCACACATTCACCTCAACCAGGGGCGGGCCCTTATATGTACAGATACACTTAACACCCCTGAAAGCTGATTTTTCCCACTGAGACGCAGTAACTGTTTAAAAAGTACCAGTTTCTTAAACAAATAGACCATATAATTACTAATTTGCAGGGCATTTATCATTCCCATGGCTATGAACTTCCCTAACCCAATATTCTTCTCCATATTACTTTTTCTCCTGCACTTAAAAGCAAAAACAAAAGTTATGTTTATGGAAATAACAGTTAACAATTTTAAAGGGTCTTAATTTTGCCTAATCTCCATGTTACTAGAGCCACAGCTTCCCATGAGACAAGGGGAAACAGCTGTTACCTGAAGCTTCTTCCTGTCCACAGTAAACCTCCTCAGGCTCAAAGGCATGTATAAACTGCTATACAGCTCTATCTATAACATCGTTTTTGTTCTGTGGGCTCTAGGGTCTGAACTTTTCTGTCCCAGCGTCTGGGCAATGCCCAAATCTTCCCACATTGTTGAATCGGTCCCAACAGCTTACAGTCTGCAGCAATTCCTGACCTTTATACACTCCAGCTGATCTGTGGTATCACTCACTTTCTGGAACACATGGATGCAGACACACACACACACACACATTCACACACACACATATACTCATGATATTCTACATAAATTATTAAAAAAAAAAATAGTCAGGGTCTCCCTCTGCTGCCCTGGCTGGAGTGCAGTGGTGTAATCACTGCAGCCTTGAACTCAAATGAACCTCCCACCTCAGCTTCTTGAGTAGCTGGGACTACAGGCATGTGTTAATCTACACAAATTCTTTGGGCCTTCTTCTGCCATTTCTCCAATTGAAAGAAGCCTCCGGTTTGCTCGCACCAGACCAGAATGAAGACAAATTCCACAAATTGTATCAAAGCTGTAACGGAGTGGCAGCAAGCCATTAATTGGGCTACCTCTCCCTCCAAAAGTTTCACTACTCTTAGAACAAACCACACTACCTTTTCTGTGAGTTTTCCCACCATCAGTTAATCACCTGGTGGTAACAACAATCCATTCAAGACAGAGCAGAGATCCTGAAGCCAAAGCCCAGGAAAACATTTTGCAGCCTCTTCTCTCCTTTGGACTCTCCCTGTTAGCTCTGGTGGCAGATTGTATTTTCTAAATATGGCCACAACAATGTCCTCCATTCCACCTACTCTTCTTACAATGTGATTTTGATACCACTCCCATCAAGAACTGAGGTCTATGTTCCCTCTCTTTGAATGGGGTTCGGCCCCTGTGACTTACTCCACAAGTCAAATGTGGCAAAAGTGACGTTGCAGGGGCAAAGTCACCGAAGGTGATGAAGCTCTGCCTGGTTCTCTGGGACACCAACTCTTGTAACCCAAACGTCATGCTGTGAGGAAACCAAAGCAGCCTGTGGAGGTGCCCATGAAAAGAGGCCTACAGAGAAAGGATCCACGGCCCCGGCCCTCAGCCCCACTGAGCTCCCAGCCGACAGCCAGCAGCAGCTAGCCAGCCACATGAGGGAGCCACCGTGGAGGTGGAAAATCCAGCTGTAGTCCAACCACAATGGATGGTGATTCAGCAAACACAAGCCTCCCCCAACTACATCCACGCAAGCTGCAGGTTCTTGAGCTACATAAATTATTGTTATTTTGAGCCACTATACTTGGGGCTGACTTGCTACACAGCGACAGCCAAAACAGCCGCTGTCTCCCCCACTGCAGGCACATTCTCTTCCTCACACAGCTGAGCTGATGCCTTCTTTATCCCCTCTCTTGGTCACACACGGGGATATTTCAGCTGACTCACATTATTCAGTCAATACATCACTTGTGCTGGAGGAGCCAAGATGGCCGAATAGGAACAGCTCCTGTCTACAGCTCCCAGCGTGAGCGACGCAGAAGATGGGTGATTTCTGCATTTCCATCTGAGGTACCGGGTTCGTCTCACTAGGGAGTGCCAGACAGTGGGCGCAGGTCAGTGGGTGCACGCACCGTGCGCGAGCCGAAGCAGGGCAAGGCATTGCCTCACTTGGGAAGTGCAAGGGGTCAGGGAGTTCCCTTTCCGAGTCAAAGAAATGGGTGACAGACGGCACCTGGAAAATCGGGTCACTCCCACCCAAATACTGCGCTTTTCCGACCGGCTTAAAAAACGGTGCACCATGAGATTATATCCGGCACCTGGCTCTAAGGGTCCTATGCCCACGGAGTCTCGCTGATTGCTAGCACAGCAGTCTGAGATCAAACTGCAAGGCGGCAGCGAGGCTGGGGGAGGGGCGCCCGCCATTGCCCAGGCTTGCTTAGGTAAACAAAGCAGCCGGGAGGCTCCAAATGGGTGGAGCCCACCACAGTTCAGGGAGGCCTGCCTGCCTCTGTAGGCTCCACCTCTGGGGGCAGGGCACAGACAAACAAAAAGACAGCAGTAACCTCTGCAGACTTAAATGTCCCTGTCTGACAGCTTTGAAGAGAGCAGTGGTTCTCCCAGCACGCAGCTGGAGATCTGAGAACTGGCAGACTGCCTCCTCAAGTGGGTCCCTGACCCCCGAGCAGCCTAACTGGGAGGCACCCCCCCAGCAGGGGCACACTGACACCTCACACAGCAGTTTACTCCAACAGACCTGCAGCTGAGGGTCCTGTCTGTTAGAAGGAAAACTAACAAACAGAAAGGACATCCACACCAAAAACCCATCTGTACATCACCATCATCAAAGACCAAAAGTAGATAAAACCACAAAGATGGGGAAAAAACAGAACAGAAAAACTGGAAACTCTAAAAAGCAGAGTGCCTCTCCTCCTCCAAAGGAACGCAGTTCCTCACCAGCAACGGAACAAAGCTGGATGGAGAATGACTTTGACGAGCTGAGAGAAGAAGGCTTCAGACGATCAAATAACTCTGAGCTACGGGAGGACATTCAAACCAAAGGCAAAGAAGTTGAAAACTTTGAAAAAAATTTAGAAGAATGTATAACTAGAATAACCAATATAGAGAAGTGCTTAAAGGAGCTGATGGAGCTGAAAACCAAGGCTCGAGAACTACGTGAAGAATGCAGAAGCCTCAGGAGCCGATGCAATCAACTGGAAGAAAGGGTATCAGCAATGGAAGATGAAATGAATGAAATGAAGCAAGAAGGGAAGTTTAGAGAAAAAAGAATAAAAAGAAATGAGCAAAGCCTCCAAGAAATATGGGACTATGTGAAAAGACCAAATCTACGTCTGACTGGTGTACCTGAAAGTGATGGGGAGAATGGAACCAAGTTGGAAAACACTCTGCAGGATATTATCCAGGAGAACTTCCCCAATCTAGCAAGGCAGGCCAACGTTCAGATTCAGGAAATACAGAGAATGCCACAAAGATACTCCTCGAGAAGAGCAACTCCAACACACATAATTGTCAGATTCACCAAAGTTGAAATGAAGGAAAAAATGTTAAGGGCAGCCAGAGAGAAAGGTCGGGTTACCCTCAAAGGGAAGCCCATCAGATTAACAGCAGATCTCTCAGCAGAAACCCTACAAGCCAGAAGAGAGTGGGGGCCAATATTCAACATTCTTAAAGAAAAGAATTTTCAACCCAGAATTTCATATCCAGCCAAACTAAGCGTCATAAGTGAAGGAGAAATAAAATACTTTACAGACAAGCAAATGCTGAGAGATTTTGTCACCACCAGGCCTGCCCTAAAAGAGCTCCTGAAGGAAGCACTAAACATGGAAAGGAACAACCGGTACCAGCCACTGCAAAATCATGCCAAAATGTAAAGACCATTGAGACTAGGAAGAAACTGCATCAACTAACCAGCAAAAGAACCAGCTAACATCATAATGACAGGATCAAATTCACACATAACAATATTAACTTTAAATGTAAATGGACTAAATGCTCCAATTAAAAGACACAGACTGGCAAATTGGATAAAGAGTCAAGACCAATCAGTGTGCTGTATTCAGGAATCCCATCTCACATGCAGAGACACACATAGGCTCAAAATAAAAGGATGGAGGAAGATCTACCAAGCAAATGGAAAACAAAAAAAGGCAGGGGTTGCAATCCTAGTCTCTGATAAAACAGACTTTAAACCAACAAAGATCAAAAGAGACAAAGAAGGCCATTACATAATGGTAAAGGGATCAATTCAACAAGAAGAGCTAACTATCCTAAATATATATGCACCCAATACAGGAGCACCCAGATTCATAAAGCAAGTCCTGAGTGACCTACAAAGAGACTTAGACTCCCACACATTAGTAATGGGAGACTTTAACACCCCACTGTCAACATTAGACAGATCAAAGAGACAGAAAGTCAACAAGGATACCCAGGAATTGAACTCAGCTCTGCACCAAGCAGACCTAATAGACATCTACAGAACACTCCACCCCAAATCAACAGAATATACATTTTTTTCAGCACCGCACCACACCTATTCCAAAATTGACCACATAGTTGGAAGTAAAGCTCTCCTCAGCAAATGTAAAAGAACAGAGATTATAACAAACTATCTCTCAGACCACAGTGCAATCAAACTAGAACTCAGGATTAAAAATCTCACTCAAAACTGCTCAACTACATGGAAACTGAACAACCTGCTCCTGAATGACTACTGGATACATAATGAAATGAAGGCAGAAATAAAGATGTTCTTTGAAACCAACGAGAACAAAGACACAACATATCAGAATCTCTGGGACGCATTCAAAGCAGTGTGTAGAGGGAAATTTATAGCACTAAATGCCCACAAGAGAAAGCAGGAAAGATCCAAAATTGACACCCTAACATCACAATTAAAAGAACTAGAGAAGCAAGAGCAAACACATTCAAAAGCTAGCAGAAGGCAAGAAATAACTAAAATCAGAGCAGAACTGAAGGAAATAGAGACACAAAAAACCCTTCAAAAAATTAATGAATCCAGGAGCTGGTTTTTTGAAAGGATCAACAAAATTGATAGACCACTAGCAAGACTAATAAAGAAAAAAAGAGAGAAGAATCAAATAGACACAATAAAAAATGATAAAGGGGATATCACCACCGATCCCACAGAAATACAAACTACCATCAGAGAATACTACAAACACCTCTACGCAAATAAACAAGAAAATCTAGAAGAAATGGATAAATTCCTCGACACATACACTCTCCCAAGACTAAACCAGGAAGAAGTTGAATCTCTGAATAGACCAATAACAGGCTCTGAAATTGTGGCAATAATCAATAGCTTACCAACCAAAAAGAGTCCAGGACCAGATGGATTCACAGCCGAATTCTACCAGAGGTATAAATAGGAGCTGGTACCGTTCCTTCTGAAACTATTCCAATGAATAGAAGAAGAGGAAATCCTCCCTAACTCATTTTATGAGGCCAGCATCATTCTGATACCAAAACCAGGCAGAGACACAACGAAAAAAGAGAATTTTAGACCAATATCCTTGATGAACATTGATGCAAAAATCCTCAATAAAATACTGGCAAAACGAATCCAGCAGCACATCAAAAAGCTTATCCACCATGATCAAGTGGGCTTCATCCCTGGGATGCAAGGCTGGTTCAATATACGCAAATCAATAAATGTCATCCAGCATATAGACAGAGCCAAAGATAAAAACCACATGATTATCTCAATAGATGCAGAAAAAGCCTTTGACAAAATTCAACAACCCTTCATGCTAAAAACTCTCAATAAATTAGGTATTGATGGGACGTATCTCAAAATAAGAGCTATCTATGACAAACCCACAGCCAATATCATACTGAATGGGCAAAAACTGGAAGCATTCCCTTTGAAAACTGGCACGAGACAGGGATGCCCTCTCTCACCACTCCTATTCAACATAGTGTTGGAAGTTCTGGCCAGGGCAATTAGGCAGGAGAAGGAAATAAAGGGTATTCAATTAGGAAAAGAGGAAGTCAAATTGTCCCTGTTTGCAGATGACATGATTGTATATCTAGAAAACCCCATTGTCTCAGCCCAAAATCTCCTTAAGCTGATAAGCAACTTCAGCAAAGTCTCAGGATACAAAATCAATGTACAAAAATCACAAGCATTCTTATACACCAACAACAGACAAACAGAGAGCCACATCATGAGTGAATTCCCATTCACAATTGCTTCAAAGAGAATAAAATACCTAGGAATCCAACTTACAAGGGATGTGAAGGACCTCTTCTAGGAGAACTACAAACCACTGCTCAATGAAATAAAAGAGGATACAAACAAATGGAAGAACATTCCATGCTCATGGGCAGGAAGAATCAATATCGTGAAAATGGCCATACTGCCCAAGGTAATTTGCAGATTCAATGCCATCCCCATCAAGCTACCAATGACTTTCTTCACAGAATTGGAAAAAACTACTTTAAAGTTCATATGGAACCAAAAAAGAGCCCGCATCGCCAAGTCAATCCTAAGCCAAAAGAACAAAGCTGGAGGCATCACACTACCTGACTTCAAACTATACTACAAGGCTACAGTAACCAAAACAGCATGGTACTGGTATCAAAACAGAGATATAGATCAATGGAACAGAACAGAGCCCTCAGAAATAATGCCGCATATCTACAACTATCTGATCTTTGACAAACCTGACAAAAACAAGCAATGGGGAAAGGATTCCCTATTTAATAAATGGTGCTGGGAAAACTGGCTAGCCATATGTAGAAAGCTGAAACTGGTTCCCTTCCTTACACCTTATACAAAAATCAATTCAAGATGGATTAAAGACTTAAATGTTAGACCTAAAACCATGAAAACCCTAGAAGAAAACCTAGGCATTACCATTCAGGACATAGGCATGGGCAAGGACTTCATGTCTAAAACACCAAAAGCAATGGCAACAAAAGACAAAATTGACAAATGGGATCTAATTAAACTAAAGAGCTTCTGCACAGCAAAAGAAACTACCATCAGAGTGAACAGGCAACCTACAAAATGGGAGAAAATTTTTGCAACCTACTCATCTGACAAAGAGCTAATATCCAGAATCTACAATGAACTCCAACAAATTTACAAGAAAAAAACAAACAACCCCATCAAAAAGTGGGTGAAGGACATGAACAGACACTTCTCAAAAGAAGACATTTATGCAGCCAAAAAACACATGAGAAAATGCTCACCATCACTGGCCATCAGAGAAATGCAAATCAAACCACAATGAGATACCATCTCACACCAGTTAGAATGGCAATCATTAAAAAGTCAGGAAACAACAGGTGCTAGAGAGGATGTGGAGAAATAGGAACACTTTTACACTGTTGGTGGGACTGTAAACTAGTTCAACCATTGTGGAAGTCAGTGTGGCGATTCCTCAGGGATCTAGAACTAGAAATACCATTTGACCCAGACATCCCATTACTGGGTATATACCCAAAGGATTATAAATCATGCTGCTATAAAGACACGTGCACACGTATGTTTATTGCGGCATTATTCACAATAGCAAAGACTTGGAACCAACCCAAATGTCCAACAATGATAGACTGGATTAAGAAAATGTGGCACATATACACCATGGAATACTATGCAGCCATAAAAAATGATGAGTTCATGTCCTTTGTAGGGACATGGATGAAATTGGAAGTCATCATTCTCAGTAAACTATCGCAAGAACAAAAAACCAAACACCGCATATTCTCACTCATAGGTGGGAATTGAACAATGAGATCACATGGACACAGGAAGGGGAATATCACACTCTGGGGACTGTCGTGGGGTGGGGGGAGGGGGGAGGGATAGCACTGGGAGATATACCTAATGCTAGATGATGAGTTAGTGTGTGCAGCGCACCAGCATGGCACATGTATACATATGTAACTAACCTGCACAATGTGCACATGTACCCTAAAACTTAAAGTATAATAAATAAATAAATAAATAAATAAATAAATAAATAAATAAAATTAAAAAAAAAAATACATCACTTGTCCTTTCACTGATGAAGCTTGGCTCTGCTGCCTACTCATTTCCACTCCTGCCCTGCATCCCTAGATCCATGGCCACTTTACTCCCTTCTCAGGAACCCGCCCTTGTCTATTTATATATTCAAGGTACTTGTCATGTTTATGTAAAAACTTACAACTGATGCCATCCTCAGCAGAGACTGGAAGACATAGCAGTCTTCAAAACTGGAAGGGTTCTTGACAGTTACAAATGCAGAAGCCAAAAGAAAAGTGGGAGGGGAGAAGCAGTGTTAGTCATGAGTAATGCATCAGGAGCTTGGAACATAACATAGACCCAAACTGATTCCAAGTAATCAATTCTAAGCAGGGTCACCAGCAGGGGTCCAGTGTCAAATGAAGTGAGGAAATGCTTGCAAAGGGTGAGGGGATCTGAGTAATGTTCTCCTGGTAATCTGCTCATGAGAAGCTATCTACAGTCACAATTGCTATTTCCAGTAACAATTATTAGGGTCACTCCTCACAACTTGTTTTATCTAGTAACCTTACCACCAACAACAAAAAAACGAAGTTAATCAAAAACGGCTTGTTCTGAATAAACTCGTCTGTGTCCTAGTAATCACACTTTCTCTACAGATGCTCACAAGTCATTATTTGCTCTGTGTGTGTGTGTGTGTGTGTGTGTGTGTGTGTGTGTAAAACAAAGCATATCCTATACTGGGGGTCACCATTTGGTTAAGATTAAATAGACAAGACCCAATGATCTGCCCTTCCAAATTACGGGCCATGATGTCAGACCCAGGTTCTGCCACTTACCAGCTCTGTGATCTTGAGCTACTTACTGAGTCTTCCTGAGCTTCTGTAACTTAATTATGAAATGTGAATAATAATAACAGTTCTCATTCTCAAAGGGTTTTTAAGAGTAAATAAAATAACATAATTCAAGTACCAAGCCCCTCTAGGAGGTGATTCATACATTTTGAATTCCCTCCTTCTTTCCATGGATTAGATGTGATGAGCCTGTCCAGGGCTGTGGAACTAAGCCATTGTCCTTAGACATTATTTAGAGCTTAACCCAGGCATGTCCTGACTTATGGGTTTGATCCAATTAGTCACAGGCTGTAGCTTTAGGGGTCCTGATACCAAGGTAAAAACTCTCATCAGAAATTCCTCTCCTTTCCTATTTTCCCTGATGGCTGCAATCTTATTTTTTCACCAAACAAAACCGCATTCTCCTTCTTGGCCGTGTCTAAAGTAATGGGTTCGCTACAAAGCCTCTTGGAATACATCCCTGCAAAGCAATCCCACCCCAGAGTCAGGTCCTGATTCAACTCGATGACTGAGACGTTCTTAATGAAAGTCAGGCCGTAACGCCTTCAGAGTCTTTTTCAGTAGCAGCACAGCAGGAAAGAGATTGGGTTAATCCTCTATATGGCTCCTGATTTTCTGAGCTTTAAAGCATAGCAAAGCTAAAAATAGCCCATTTCCTCATATTCTCACATAGGCATCCCCTTTTAAACCAGCTCCTTTCCATAAATGTTGCATCTCTAGGGACATATATGGAAGGTAAGCCAGGAACACCCTGGGATAATCTTGACCTTCTCTACCTCCTGAGTCCTATAGCCACATTCTGCAGGTATTGGAACAGGACCATCCTACACAGGTTCTCCTCTAGAAAGAGTGCAATTATGTCTTAAAGAAAACATCATACAAAACGGAGAATAGAAATGTGCTTTGTCCCTGGCAGTGAACAAGACTCAAGCCTGCACCTTAATAAGGAATCTCTTTAACCCCTCCCTTACATAAGAATGAAATCCAAAAGTCAGCCCACATGGTGCTCTGCATTCAGGAAAACCCTCCACAATGGGAGACTGACTTTCTAGAGAAAGTGACAGCTTGTATTCCATGGAACAATGATGAAACCCTCCGACAGGAAAGCTGCACAAGTTTGTGAAAACAGCTGCCCTTTGGTGTAAATTTCTCCTGGATTGAAACTCTAGCTTCTCCAGTGACTAGTTAGGTCATTGGAGGAAACTCAAAATTGACATCAATAGAATGGAGAGGACTTGAGTAGGACCCTGAGATCTGGAGACAGAAATGAGACTCCAAATCATTAGGAAGGCATGCTTAGGAAACTCCCTCCAGAAACAGAGCCAGAGCATTAAGAAACTAAAAAACAAGGACCTATGGGTCAGTAAGGTTTACAATAAGAAGGCAGGTGGTCTAGAAGCCTGGGCAAGGATTTGAACCTGGAAAGGAGAGAAGAACACGGGAACTATATTAATGAATATAATTTGGATTTCTGGAGCAAAATTTAAGATAATAAATCTGTAAGCTCTTAGCTAGGGTTATATTTAACTTCCAAGCCAACTGGTCTCACCAAGAGGATGTTAAGATGAAAAAGAAGGAAAAGGCTTCAGTGATCAGAGAATCTTAACTTTGCTAATATACCTGTGTGCATATGCACACACACACACACACACACACACACATGCACACCATGAAATAGGTCAGATTTTTTTTCTCCCAAAAACACAGCTGTGCTACCCTCTCCTTCCCTGTTGCTTAATTCAAATAATAGACATGATAGCCTTATGCCATGTTTGAGAAGCCTATAAACCTTAAATCCCAATGTTTATGTATCTTTTTCATGTTTCTCTATGTCATTGTGAAAAAAAAAACCTCCAACGAAGGATAAACTTGTGATGACCATTTGGACTGTCCTCTAGTGTCCAGCATCTTGCAAAACCCACCCCGACCTTGAAGAAGGAAGCAGGGAATCATCCACGTAAAGCCTTGATTCTGAGCTGGTGTTACTTACTATTCTGTCCATCTTTGAATTGTTTTAGTTATAGGTAATTGGAATTGTTTTTGGTCATTCCAAAGGCAGGACATTCAATCTAAAAATCCAAGGACACTATGGGGAGATATGTCTTTTAAATGGTTATTGGTCTAAGACCAAAAGAGAAATATCTAAATAAATTCATGAAATAAACCCCTACAGAAGAAAGCAGCTAGGACTTTTAAATGACAACAGTGGCCATGATTTATTCAAAGAAATCCACTTATTCACATAACAAACAATATTGCTCTCAACATCTGTAAAACAAAACACATAACATATTAGGAGAAATTAAAATAGTATGGAAAATACGCTTATATGGAATCCCAAAGTTTAACAGGAAGAAACTCCAGTTGGGAACATTGATATAGAACAGTGTGACCTACACAAAAGATACTGAATTGGAGAGAGGGGTGGCAGATGGTGAAGGAAGTGATCAAAAGTCTCACCTTAGACTTTCTTCTGACCACCAAGAAGAAAGGGTTAGTGAAGTGGAAATTTCAAGAACTTGAAAGAATATTGTCATATTACCTCATGGTAGCAAAAAGAGAAACAGTTGGGCAAAATTGAATGTATATGCTATGTTTTTGAAGGCATATTTCAGAAATTTAAGAGAAATAGTAGGCAGGATTATAAACCATGATAATTTGGGAAGGAAGATAATTTTCAAAAATGTGATTCTGTGTTGCATTTGTAAATGACCCTGGTGAGAAAGAGGGCCTGGGTCCTCAACATAAAATAAGTAAGACAGAATAGCATAGTGTCTAAGGGCCTGGTCCTGGACTCTAGCCAATGGCATTTAACCCCAGCCCCACCCTTCATAGTTGGGATCTTGGGCCTGTTTACTAGCCTCTCTGCATTAGAGATGCTTAATCCATAAAAATGGAGAGGTAACAGCATTTATGCCATAGGATTACTGTGATGATTCAATAAGACAATATAATTAAAGTGCCTGGCACCTAGTGAAAGCTCAGTAAAATGGTGCCTATCATTATCCTTAGGTACCAGGCTGCATTCTAGGTAAAGGAGATATATGGCTGAGGCTTGGTACCTGCCCTCAAGCAACTGTCTGCTATTTTAAATAGCTAACATGCAATGGATAATGATTAGTACAGCATAGGTATAGCTGCTTCAAACTCTCCCCAGAATCAGATGTGGAATAAGTAAATCATTTCACCAGTTAACTAACAAAATTGTTATCTAAAGGAAACATTGGACCTTCCCACTGAACAGTAATCATTTCTAATTGTAAAAAAGAAACACTCAAAATGGAAAGGAGGCACATGGTGGACAGAGACATGAAAGACGGGAACCAGGGTGAGCTGTGGTTTACAAAAACACTAAGACTCCCAGTAAAGGATTTCTCAGTTACTCTAAGAGCTGGAGAAGTCCAAGAGATAAACTTGGGATCAACTGTGTAATACTGATGGAGAAAGGAAAGTGAATTTCCTTACATTCCATTGGCTTCTTCAAGAACCTGGTATTCGGACTGAAAAGAAAAGGACTGAACCATTGTGAGAGAATTAGAGCCTTAAATTTATTAGGAGATGATAAAAACATCCATTTTCTCTTAGTGTTTTCAATTATTTTGGCTGAGACATAAGGAGCCAAGGTACAAAGAGAATTTGCAAATAAAATCAACAAGCTTGTGTCAATGGTCTTTGAGAAGCTAATGCAAAATTGAAAGTTTTTGATAGACTGAAAATGCACAAATCCTATTCCAATTTTCAAGGAGCAGAATTCTTCAAACAAGACAGGGGCTTGGCAAAGGCAGTGTGCTACTGTAAAAAGTAATAAAGGAAGGAAGCCAGAAAGAAGAAAAATATTCCTAAGGACAGGGGATAAATTGGTGTCCAGTGCAAGAATATAATAGACTATGGCTCAAAATCATTTGAGTGTGTATCATATGACAGGTACAATTCTGGGTACTTTTATATATATGATCTTATTTAATTTCCCCATAGCCAGAGGTATCATTATGTCCACTTTTTAGAGATAAGGAAACTGGCATGCAGGAAGAAGGATTAAAGAATGAAGTATCTCTGGCCTATTTTAAAGCTAAAAACCACATATTCAAGATTCTGCCCTTGGAAGATAAGAACAAGGCATTCTGGAAAAATAGAAACAGTTCAAATTCTAAGAAGGAGTGGGGTGAATAAACTAGAGAGAAAATTACACTTGCCATGTCCAAAATAGCTTGGTAGTCAGTGAAGTTCTAAAAAGGATACATTGTGGCAGATCCTTTTTGTAATTTCTTTCCATCCTACGTACTTCTATTTCTAGGAACTACCACCCCACGCAAAAAGATGCACCTTTGAACTCCTATTTGATAGAACTGATTGGACCCAATCTAGGCCAATAGATTTTTCCTCCCAGAAATTGGGAATTGAGAATATTAGCCAATTTCTGCTGTTCATTTGAACTAGAAAGTGATGAGAAACTCAGCTGGAAATGGCCACTTTGGGGCCTTATTCGTATGCACAAAAGAGAGGGAAATGCCTGGATAACAGACAAGTACAGAGGTGAGGCTATGCAGCCCTGAAAAAGAAGAAAGAAGAACCCTGGCTCTAGATGTTCTTTCAGGTCTTGATTCTAGTCTCCTGTGGGTATATACATATATTTCTTGCTCCTGGATGCTCCTGAGATATTATTATAGATCCTTTTACAACTTTACCTTTAGTGCTTAAAGTAACCTGGCCAAGTTTGGGGAAATAGTAACCAAAATGCCTGGTTTAGATGATCATATATTGCTCTGACAGATATGCTTTCCTCTTGAAACATTAGTCTGGTACATGATGGAAAGTCTTATGCTATGTCCTCCATACATGGATCATGAATTTCTCCCACATCACCTGGGAGCAAGTAAAATAAAAATGAAATGAACTGCGCATATAGAAATTTTAGAGAGCTGAGGAAAAACTGAAGAACATAGCAATGGTTGTTATATTTTAATTATTTTCTACCTAAAGATCATAACTTTATAAAAGAAAGGGGTATGGAATGTCAAGAAAGACGAAGCTAACATAAGACTCATTCTCCTGACTCTCAGTGACTTTATGTAGAGAATAGCTGAACTATGGCAAAAGACAAAGGGAATTTTATAAGGATAGGAAAGAATGTGAGACAGTAGACTCACAATCAATAACAGAATCAAAAATGATAATGGGGAGTATTGTCCAAAAGATGAAAACATCATCAAAAAAGTATGAAACTGAAAACTAAGAAGCCATCAGACATGACACAGAAAGAATTCTCAGATGAAAATAACAGGCACGGAAGTTAAGATAGAAATATATTATCATTCCAGAAAGATGGCACTGAAAGAGAATTCATATAAGGCTCCTTCTCCCTTTTTTCTCTTAAAATATCCTTGACATTTTCTGTCAAAGGGTAAGAAAAAATCCACATTAACACCCAAAATGTTTGACAAGATTTTGAGCATATTTCATATTCTGCAGCAAATGTATAATCTCTCTGACAAGATTGGAGAGAATTAAAAGTTGGCACCAGCAGCCAACGCAAGCCTAGAACCCTGCACAGAAGGGACAGTGGCTCAAGAGAATAACCTGGCATGGCCAGAGACCTCCTGGGCGTATACTCAGGACGTATACTCTACATACAGAGGCACAGCCAGGCCAAGGCTGACTGGACCCTCCCAAGGGTAAGCTCCGACTCAGGCCCTGATCCAGCAGGGACCTGTTTCCTCTCAGCTGAGAGGCTGGAGGGGCAAATGTGCCAACAGGCTTGAGCGCCAATACCAGCCCTAATACAGGGGTAGGAAGGACTCTGACAATTTGATTACAAAAAGACAAATGCTTTTTTTGACCCTTACTCCAAATGGAAAGGAGCTCTTTCTCATGAGCTCTATTCCATGTTTGGAAATACTTGATATTCTGAAAAGTGGGAAGATATTTCTATTTCTAATAGTTTATTATTTCTATTCTATTAATAGTTTATTATTTCTAATAAACTTCTTCCATTTAGCACAAAAATAAAACCTCAAATTTAGAAGCAATATTGATGATCATTTCTTTCTGATTATGGAGAAAACTGAAACTATGCACTTTAGCAGCCCAGAGAAGCCATCACTCAACCCCAGTTGGAAATGAAAGTTAAGAATGTTCCTTCAGACCAACCTTAGCTTTGTTCACTCTCTCTCCCCTTCTCTTTTATGTTCTGCTTTCGGATGGTTTGTTCTGTTGGTTTTTCTCATTTTGTAAATTGGACATTTATCTCATTCATCTTCAAGGTTTTTTCTATAGTAAGTATCTGAGTTTATCTGAATTATCTCCTTTGCTTCACCCCATGATTGGGTGTATGCGTACATACAAACATGTATCTATACATATTTTTATTGCTTTTCCACTTATATCTTTACATTATGATTTATTTGACCTGTTCGTTAAAGTGTTTTTTGTTTCTTTTTTGTTTTGTTTTATTATTATTATACTTTAAGTTTTAGTGTACATGTGCACAATGTGCAGGTTAGTTACATATGTATACCTGTGCCATGCTGGTGTGCTTCACCCATTAACTCATCATTTAGCATTAGGTATATCTCCTAATGCTATCCCTCCCCCCTCCCCCCACCCCACAACAGTCCCCAGAGTGTGATGTTCCCCTTCCTGTGTTCATGTGTTCTCATTGTTCAATTCCCATCTATGAGTGAGAACATGTGGTGTTTGGTTCTTTGTCCTTGCAATAGTTTACTGAGAATGATGATTTCCAATTTCATCCATGTCCCTACAAAGGACATGAACTCATCATTTTTTATGGCTGCATAGTATTCCATGGTGTATATGTGCCACATTTTCTTAATCCAGTCTATCATTGTTGGACATTTGGGTTGGTTCCAAGTCTTTGCTATTGTGAATAATGCCACAATAAACATACATGTGCATGTGTCTTTATAGCAGCATGATATATAGTCCTTTGGGTATATACCCAGTAATGGGATGTCTGGGTCAAATGGTATTTCTAGCTCTAGATCCCTGAGGAATCACCACACTGACTTCCACAATGGTTGAACTACTTTACAGTCCCACCAACAGTGTAAAAGTGTTCCTATTTCTCCACATCCTCTCCAGCACCTGTTGTTTCCTGACTTTTTAATGATTGCCATTCTAACTGATG
This sequence comes from Homo sapiens, assembly GCF_000001405.40. Lineage (NCBI taxonomy): Eukaryota > Metazoa > Chordata > Mammalia > Primates > Hominidae > Homo > Homo sapiens. The sequence continues at coordinate 84,748,863 of NC_000010.11, read as the reverse complement.
TGAGATGGTATCTCATTGTGGTTTTGATTTGCATTTCTCTGATGGCCAGTGATGATGAGCATGTTTTCATGTGTGTTTTGGCTGCATAAATGTCTTCTTTTGAGAAGTGTCTGTTCATATCCTTTGCCCACTTTTTGATGGGGTTGTTTGTTTTTTTCTTGTAAATTTGTTTGAGTTCATTGTAGATTCTGGATATTAGCCCTTTGTCAGATGAGTAGGTTGCGAAAATTTTCTCCCATTCTGTAGGTTGCCCGTTCACTCTGATGGTAGTTTCTTTTGCTGTGCAGAAGCTCTTTAGTTTAATTAGATCCCATTTGTCAATTTTGTTTTTTGTTGCCATTGTTTTTGGTGTTTTAGACATGAAGTCCTTGCCCATGCCTATGTCCTGAATGGTATTGCCTAGGTTTTCTTCTAGGGTTTTTATGGTTTTAGGTCTAACATTTAAGTCTTTAATCCATCTTGAATTAATTTTTGTATAAGGTGTAAGGAAGGGATCCAGTTTCAGCTTTCTACATATGGCTAGCCAGTTTTCCCAGCACCATTTATTAAATAGGGAATCCTTTCCCCATTGCTTGTTTTTCTCAGGTTTGTCAAATATCAGATAGTTGTAGATATGCAGCGTTATTTCTGAGGGCTCTGTTCTGTTCCATTGATCTATATCTCTGTTTTGGTACCAGTACCATGCTGTTTTGGTTACTGTAGCCTTGTATTATAGTTTGAAGTCAGGTAGCGTGATGCCTCCAGCTTTGTTCTTTTGGCTTAGGATTGACTTGGCGATGCGGGCTCTTTTTTGGTTCCATATGAACTTTAAAGTAGTTTTTTCCAATTCTGTGAAGAAAGTCATTGGTAGCTTGATGGGGATGGCATTGAATCTATAAATTACCTTGGGCAGTATGGCCATTTTCATGATATTGATTCTTCCTGCACATGAGCATGGAATGTTCTTCCATTTGTTTGTATCCTCTTTTATTTCATTGAGCAGTGGTTTGTAGTTCTTGAAGAGGTCCTTCACATCCCTTGTAAGTTGGATTCCTAGGTATTTTATTCTCTTTGAAGCAATTGTGAATGGGAGTTCACTCATGATTTGGCTCTCTGTTTGTCTGTTGTTGGTGTATAAGAATGCTTGTGATTTTTGTACATTGATTTTGTATCCTGAGACTTTGCTGAAGTTGCTTATCAGCTTAAGGAGATTTTGGGCTGAGACAATGGGGTTTTCTAGATATACAATCATGTCATCTGCAAACAGGGACAATTTGACTTCCTCTTTTCCTAATTGAATACTCTTTATTTCCTTCTCCTGCCTAATTGCCCTGGCCAGAATTTCCAACACTATGTCTAATAGAAGTAGTGAGAGAGGGCATCCCTGTCTCGTGCCAGTTTTCAAAGGGAATGCTTCCAGTTTTTGCCCATTCAGTATGATATTGGCTGTGGGTTTGTCATAGATAGCTCTTATTATTTTGAGATACGTCCCATCAATACCTAATTTATTGAGAGTTTTTAGCATGAAGTGTTGTTGAATTTTGTCAAGGGCCTTTTCTGCATCTATTGAGATAATCATGTGGTTTTTGTCTTTGGTTCTGTTTATATGCTGGATGACATTTATTGATTTGCGTATATTGAACCAGCCTTGCATCCCAGGGATGAAGCCTGCTTGATCATGGTGGATAAGCTTTTTGATGTGCTGCTGGATTCGTTTTGCCAGTATTTTATTGAGGATTTTTGCATCGATGTTCATCAAGGATATTGGTCTAAAATTCTCTTTTTTGGATGTGTCTCTGACTGGCTTTGGTATCAGGATGATGCTGGCCTCATAAAATGAGTTAGGGAGGATTCCCTCTTTTTCTATTGATTGGAATAGTTTCAGAAGGAATGGTACCAGTTCCTCCTTGTACCTCTAGTAGAATTCAGCTGTGAATCCATCTGGTCCTGGACTCTTTTTGGTTGGTAAGCTATTGATTATTGCCACAATTTCAGATCCTGTTATTGGTATTTTAAAGTGTTTTTATATGCACAGACTTAAGAGTTTTAGAAATGTATTTCTTTTTCAAAAAAAATTTGTATTGTTAATATCACTGTTAATAAGACAATTCTATATTTTGTGAATCCTGACAAAATGTGCCAAAGACACATTAATTATGTGATATTCCTGCCAAAAATATATAACATGATCATAGTGGAGAGAAATATCAGAAAAAGCTAAACTGAGGAATATCCTACAAAATTACCAGCCTATGCCTGTCAAAAATTTCAGGTTAAGGGAGACTAAAGAGATGTGACAAGTATATGCAGCACATGTTTCTTGATTGGATCCTGATCAATTTAAACTTTTGCTCTATCAGACATTTTTGAGACTATCGGTAAAATTTGAGTAAGGTCTTTAAATTATTAATAGCTTATAACAGTGTGACTTTCTGATTTTGCTAATAATGTCATGGTTTCTTGAGGAAAAAGTCCTTGTTTTTTAGGAAATGCATACTGAACGTTTAGGGTTAACAGAGTATTGTATATGCAACTGGTTCTGGACAAATTATACAGAGAGAAAATGGTACAGTAAATGTGGTAAGATGTTAACCTTTGGAAAATCTAAGTGAAGTTATAGGAATGCTTTGTACTGTTTTGCAGATTTATTGTAAATCTGGAATTATTTCAGAATAGAAAATTTAAAAAATAGCTTTTGTTGTTGGTTCTAAGTAATTGCATGTGGTCAAAGAACATGTGAGTATGATCGAGCTTGGGCAAATTATTATGACCTTTCTCTGCATCAGCCTTGCCATCTGAAAAATGAAAATAATAGTACCTATATCATAGATTGTTGTGAGAGTAACTTAAGACATTTAAAATACTGAGAACTCATCCAGGCACAAAGTGTATAAATATATGTTGTAGTAAGCTGAATAATGGCCCCCAAGACATCCGGTCCTAATCCATGAACCCTATATTACCTTACATGGAAATGAGGTCTTTGCTGATGTGATTAAGTTGGGGATCTTGAGATAGGGAGATTTTCTTGGATGATCTAGATAGGTCCTAAGTGCAATCACAAGTGTGTTTAATCAGAGGCAGGGAGATTGCAGACAGAAGAAGAGAAGACAATGTGACCATGAAGCCAGAGATTGGAGTGATGCAGCCACAAACAAAGGAATACCAGTAGCCACAAAAAAATGGGAAGCATCAAGTAACAGATTCTCTCCTAGAAATTCTGGAGGATGAAGCATCCACCAGCAATTTGATTTTGGTGTAGTTATATTCATTTTGGACCTCTGGCCTCCACGGAACTGTGAGAATGAATTTCTGTTATTTTAAACCAAAAAAAAAAAAAAAAAAAAAAAAAAAGAATGTTCCTTCAAGAATGACCCAATCACAAATCCTGGACTTGGACAATTTAAGCTCTTACCATAGACAAACAATGAAAATAGAACTGCAAAACAGCCTGTCAGGAAACCTGATCTCTCAGAAAATTTGAACAAAATTGAAACATCTTAAAACGATGAGGAATTATTTATTTGGCACCTTTGAAAAAGGAACAGAATAAACTTGAATGTCACTATGGAACCATTTAAATTAGTATGGGAAGTAGTTAAAAATAGAACTGATGTTGCAGAAAAATCAATTAGTAACATAGAAAATAGAGTTGAGAAACATATAGAATGTCAAAGAAATTAACACAGCGGAAAATAATATGAATAAGTATTTTTGTATCCACATGTTGCCTGGCTGTTCTGGCTGCTGACAACATAAACATGAAGAAACCGTTTCCACCTGCCCTTAAGGTGGTCACAGCTCAGTAAGGAAGATAGAGAAATAAATAGATAGCAATCTAGATGTCATTAATTGATACCAACTCACTATCCCAGAATCACAAAAATATAATTTTTATTATAGTAGCCACAGATGGTATACAAAAAGAAAGATAAAAAACAAGACACATTAAGAATATCCTATTGCTCTTAAAAGAAACTATGTATAGGCTTTATTCTCAGGATACTCACTAGCACATCCAAAAATCAGGAAATATTAGCATTAGTCTCCTAAATAAAAGGATAAAAATTCAAATTGTTAACAATCTATTTTGACAGAAAAGATGAAATGTATAAAACTACATATCACTATATGTGAGATAAAGCACAGCCATACACAGAGAGAAACATAGATGCCTTCAATGTTTTTGCCATTTCAAATACTATGGTCCCATTAGGATATGGGGTAGTAAATAAAGTATTGGAAAACCAAAAACACAGGAAATACCACAATGTAAATAAACAAGACAATAGCAAATATAGTTGGGAGAAAAAGTAAAATTATTTTCAAAATTATAAAAGACTTCCTTCATATCTTTACCTGGTTGAAAGTTAATATAGTTTATATTAATATTATAAACTATTAAAGAAAAAAACAAAGAAAATATAAAGGTCTTAGAACAAATGAACATCTTAAAAATAAACAAAATGTTGAATTGTTGTACTAAAAATTTAATAGAGGAATTACAGTTTGGGGTACAATGGACTAAGTGTAGTCCCCGTGTCTCTCCCACTGAATGCAACTATAAAACCTGAACAAAGACTGAAAGAAAAAAAACAAAAAACTGAAATCTAGAATTGGGCACCAGCGTGTAAAAGTAACTCCAGGAAAAGCCCTCTAGTTCTGGTTCAATAAACAGAAAGGGGATTTCTTAGTACCTAGAGAAAGTATGGAAATCTTCTTGCGTTAATTTTTTTTCTTCCACATTCTTGGGTCCCAGGCCCCATACAATCTCTTTGTGATGGCAGCAGAGATGGAATGAGAGCCCACAGGAATCCAAGTTTTGAGTGAGGAAAACTGCTTTTTGCAGTCCATGGAGCCCCAATCCCAAGAAGGTGGGTCAATCCTCTATTAATTTTATTTCTCCTTGTGTCTTCTTGCTGTTTCTCTCTAGATGCAGAAGCATATATGGAGAAGCAACTAAATCCCCAGTTTTCTGACATAATAATTAAAAATCAGAGGCCCAGGAAACTATATAGAAAATAATAGGCAGGAAATCAGAGAGAGGGAATAGCTTGGGAAAGAGGCACCATAAAGATTTGTTAATGAATTTCTGTTCTCACCCCAAAGTTGACCATGGGTAGATCTGATTTAATCAATACAGCAAAGAATTTAAGGATGGAACTCACAGATTATTGCCCAGGTCTCAGAGTGGCCACTGGGTGGCACACACACAGGACAACTAAAAATAACATTGCAAAGACTCTGAAAACTGAATTAACTTTGGGACTGCAGTCCACAGAAGGTGGGCTGGACTGTGTGTCCTAAACCTAAACAGGTTGATTGCTTGCTGAAACAAAAATAACATTTAACATAAATATTTTTAAAGACTCAGTACCTCATGACATAATATTCATGCCCAGGAACAAATCCAAAAGTACTCAATATATGAAGAATTAGAAAAATATCACTTCACACAGGGCAAAAAAAAATCAACAGATGCTAATGTAAAAATAAAATATATTAAAAATATCTGACAAAAAACGTAAAGCAATTGGCCAGGCATAGTGGCTTACACCTGTAATCCCAACACTTTGGGAGGCCAAGGTGTGAGGATTGCTTGAGGCCAAAAATTTGTAACCGGCCTGGACAACATACAGAGAACCCATCTCAATAAAAAAATAAAAAATAAAAATCAACTGGATATGGTGTTGCATACCTATAGTCCTAGCTACTAGGAAGGCTGGGGCAAGAGGATCCCAGTTCGAGGTTACTGTGAGCTATGAACATACCACTGCACTCTAGTTCGAGTGACAGAGGGAGACCCTGTTTCAAAATATGAAAAAGAACTTAAAGCAGCTATCACAAAAATGTTCCACCAAGTAATTTCTAACACTCGTGAAACAAATAAAAAAATAGACAGTTACAGCAAGAAACAGAATTGGACAGAAATAGTACAACTGAACAATACAATAACTACAATTGGAAAAAACCTCACTAAAAGGTCTCAATATTGGAATGGATATGACAGAGGAAGGGATCAGTGAACTCAAAGATAGTTTAATAAAAACTATCCAGTCAGAGTAACAGAGAAAAAATAGATTTGAGAAAAATTAACAGGGCCTTCGGAACATGTGCGATAATAAAAAAGGTCTAACATTGTATCGTTAGAGTTCCAAAAGGAGATAAGAAAAGAATGTAGACCTGAAAAAAAATGTTTGAAGAATTAATAGCTGGAAATTTCCTGTTTAGCAACAGACATAAACTTAAAGATTCAAAATGTTCAACAAATTCCTAAGAGGACAAACCCAAAGAAATCCATGCTCTGTGACACATATGCAACCTGCTAAGAATAGAAGGCAATTAAAAACCTTTAAACAGAGACAAGCTACGCATTATTTGTAGGAAAACAATAATTCAAATGACAATGAATTTTTTATCAGAAATCATGGAGTTCAGAATAAAGTAGCACACATTTTTAGGTACTGAAAGGAAAGAACCATCAGCCCAGATTTCTTTATTCAGTGAAAATATTCTTCAAAAAATAAAAGAGAAATAAGATATTCTCAAATAAAGAAAACCTAAGAGAATTATTTGCCAGCAGACCTGCTTTAGAAAAATATTGTTAATGCAAATTTTTCAGATAGAAGCAAAATAATACCAGAAAGAAAAATGGAACATAAGGAATGAAAGAAGAAAACAAAATGGTAAATATCTGGGTAAATATAGACTACTTTCTCTTGAGATCCTTAAGATATGTTTCATGGTTGAAAGTTAAAATTATAACATTGTCTTGCAGGGTTTTCAATGCACCTAGTAAGAAAAGGGATCTATATGGTGGTAAGATATATCAACATCCATTTGATGTTGATAAAATATGTAGTCTAATTAGACTAAATATAAAGTTAAGTAATTCTCTAGAGCAATTACTAAAATAAATTTCAAGGAGATATAGTCAAAGACTCAATGGGCAAGTAAAATAGAATACCAAAAAATATTCAAAAAGTGCAAAAGAATGCAGAAAATAGAGAATGGAGATACAAAAATGAAGAGAACAAACAAAACTAAATAATAAAATGGTAAAGTGGAATACAAATATATCAATAACTGTATTAAATGTAAATGGTCTGAGCACACCAATTAAAAGACAGAGATCATTAGAATGGGTAGCAAAACATAATACAACTATATGTTGTCCATGTGAAATCTAATGCTTCAAATAGGTTATAAGGAAAAGGATAGAAAAAGATATACCATGCAAACTCTTACAAAAGAAGTTGGAGTTGCTATATTCATATCAGACAAAGTAGATTTCAGCACAAAGAAAATTACCAGAAATAAAGAGAAACCTTACATAATGATTCAACAGTCAATTTGTCATGAAGATATAACAACCCTAAATGTGTATGCACCTAACAACAGAGCTCCAAAATACAGGGCATAAAAACTGAGAAAACTGAAGGAGAAATTGACAAATTTTCTGTTACAGATAGAAATTACAATGCTCATAGATTGAATATCAGAAAAAAATATAGAACTCAACAATACCATAAATCAATAGGATCTAACCAACATTTTTTGAACACTTCATCCAACAATAGCAGAAGTCACATCCTTTTCAAATTCACAAGAAAGATTCACTAAAATATACCATATCCTAGATTGTAAAACAAATCTTAACAATATATTTTTTTAAGAGATGGTGGTCTAGCTATGTTGCCTAGGCTGGTCTTGATCTCTAGGGCCCAAGCGATCCTCCCGCTTCAGCCTCCCAAACTGCTGGGATTACAGGAATAAGCCACCACACCTGGCCAAACCTTAACGAATTTAAAAGAAAAAGAATCATACAAAGTATATTATCTTATTATAATGTAATTAAAGTAGAAGTCAAAACAGGGAAAATTCTCCAAACACTTGAAAATTAAAAAGTACACTTGTAAAACCAGTCAAGCAACAAAAGAGTAAAAAGCAGTAAGAATTTACTAGAGGGGTATGGTAGAGGGCACAGAGAGATCCCCTCTGTGCACAGATGCATAGGAAAGGTCTAAAACTAAAGGCAAAGCTGGAACAATGATAATATTTTTCTAGTACCCCAGTTTCCACTCTATGCACAAAATAATATCAAAATAACTTCAAGACAGTGGTACATTGAAGGTAAACAGAACAAGTCAAACATACCCCAATTCCTAAATATAACTGAACTGTTTACACTTCCATCAAAATATTAATCAAAAGAAGGATGGATAAGCCATATTCCTAACAGGTAACATAAACTTAAGAACAAGGAATATTACCAGGAATAAAGAGGAGCATTTCATAATAAGAAAGGGATCAATCACAAAGAGAACAGAACAATCTTAAATGTCTATGCAACTAAAAACAGAGTATCAAAATAAGGAAAGCAAGAATTGATGGGACTAAAGGCTAAATTTTAAAATCCACAATTTTAGTGGCAGACATCAAAATCTTCTCTTAGTAATCAATAGAACAAAATCAGAATATACATTAGACTTAAAAACATTACAAATTAACTTGACCTGACTGACATCTAGAGAAATCATTCATGAGCAACTACGGGATACATGTTTTTCTCAAGTGCACATGGAATATTCACCATGATAAATCATACTCCAGGTCATAAAACATACTTCAACAAATTTAAAATGATTAATGTCATATAAAGTATATTCTCTTATAAAAACAAAATTAAACTTGAAATCAATAACAGAAGAATAGCTAGAGATATCCAAATATTGAGAAATTTCAAAACACACTTTTGCATAACCCGTAGGTCAAAGACCAAGTCAAAAGAGAAATTAGAAAATATTATAACTTGAATGAAAATGAAAACACAGCATACATTAATTTGTGAGATGCAGTACTTGGCAACAATTTTAGCATTAAATGCTAATATCGCAAAAGAGGTGTGCCATTTATTAATTTATTACATCTCATTTCTATATTTATTTTCAATGTATGTTCTGTGATAATAGAATTAATTTAAGCATCTTTCCTGTAAATTCAGCACAATGTTGTGCTTTCTCAGTAGAGGGCACTGGAAGGACATTGCAGGAGGAAGTCCCTCTCCTGGGAGGAAGACACTCTCCAGCTGCTGCATGGGAGAAAGTAGGGGAGTGGGTCAAGAGTGTAGACCAAGTGTACAGTATTTTCAAAGTCTAGTGTATTACAGCAAAAAACAATAATAATAAAATAGAGACTGAAGGGAAAAAAAAGTCTCAATTTGCTGAAGACATGATTGTCTGCATAGAAAATCCAAAAGAATCTATAACATAGCTACTAGGAATAAAAAGTGACTTTAGCAAGATCATGGGGAAGAAGAACAATGCAAAAAAATTAATTGTACTTCAATATACTAGCAATGAACAAATGGAAGTTGAAATAACATTGAAAATAACACAAAAATATGAAATATTAGGTATAAATCTAAATAAGGACAAAATATGTAGGCTGAACACTGTAAGACAATAATGAGAAAATTTGAAAAGATCTAAGTAAATGAGTGAATAAGAGAATATATGGGCCGGGCCTGGTGGCTCACACGTGTAATCCCAACACTCTGGGAGGCCGAGGTGGGCGGATCACAAGGTCAGATCGAGCCCATCCTGGCTAACACAGTGAAACCCCATCTCTACTAAAAATACAAAAAATTAGCTCGGCATGGTGGCACGCTCCTGTAATCCCAGCTACTCGGGAGACTGAAGCAGGAGAATCACTTGAACCGGGGAGGCAGAGGTTGCAGTGAGCCAAGATCATGTCACTGCACTCCAGCCTGGGTGACAGAGCGAGACTCCATCTGAAAAAAAAAAGAAAAAGAAAAGAATATACTATGTGCAGGATTGGAAGACTCATTATTGTTAAAATATTATTTCTCTTCAAACTGATCTATGGTTTGAAAGCAATCACAAGAAATTCCAGCAGGATTTTTTTTCAGAAGTCAGTGACCTAATTATTATATGGAAAAACAAAGGCACTATAATAGTCAAGCTGATTATGAAAAAGAACAAAGTTGGTGAAATTACACTATCTGACATTAAGACTTACAATGACCTTACAGTAACCAAGACAGCTTCTATTAGTGAAAGAACAGATACGCATGTCAATGAATCATAATAATGAGTCCAGATATAAAACTCAGGTCAAAATACATAAGGCAACAATTGCTAGAACCACAAAAAGAGAGAAATATATTACTATATTTTTTGGCTTCAACACACCTCTATGATTAATTGAGAAATCAGTAGTTAGAAAAATCAGTAAGGAAATACAATCATGAGCCTCATAATGCTGTTTTGGTCGATGACAGACCAGATATACAACGGAGGTCCAATAAGATTATAATGAATCTAAAAATTCCTATTATCTAGTCATAGCCATAATGTCATTAACGTCATAGTGCAGCATATTGCTCTTGTGTTTGTAGTGATGCTGGTGTAGACAAACTTACTACATTACTGGTCATACATTAACTTTTAAAAAATACAATTCTCTGTGTTTTTTTTTTAAAGTCTCTGCCTCTCTTTCCTTGTCCTTTTTCTAATATTGTGTATGTGAGCTTTATTATTTTATTGCATATTTTATTTTTTATTTTTATATTTTATATTTATATTTTATTTCTCCCTTTAAATTTATTTGTTATTTCTGCCATTTTCTGTTTTATAAATATGGTTATCCCTTGATATCCACAGGGTATTGGTTCCAGGAGCTCCTGTGATACCAAACTCTGCAGATGTTCAAATGGCATAGCATTTGTGTATAACCTATACACATCCTCCCATATACAGTATTTTAAATTATCTCTAGATTACCTATAACACCAAATAAAATGCAAATGCTATGTAAATAGTTGTTATACTATATTGTATTGTGTTTGTATTATTTTTATTGTTGTATTGTTATTTTTCCAATTTTTAGAATATTTTGGCTCCGCAATTGGTTGAATCCACTGATATGGAACCCACAGATATGAAGGGCCAACTGTAGTTACAATCATTAGCCACATAACAACCTTTTGGTCAATGTTAGATTGCATATGTTATGGTGATCCCATAAAACTATAGTAGAGCTAAAAAATTCCTATTACCTGGTAACTCACATGTTTGTCACATAAAAGTACAGCATATATAATTATGTACAGAACATATTACTTGATAATGATATTAAAAGACTATGTCACTGGTTTATGTATTTATTATACCATACTTTTTATCATTAAAGCTAATGTATGTGTTTATGTCTTCGTTTTTAACAAAAAAGTTTAAAAAGTAAAGTAGTTAAATGGAAAAAGGCATACAGAATAAGGATATCAGGAAGAAAATATTTTTGTACAGCTGTACAATGCATTTGTGCTTTAGCCAAGTATTATTACAAAACAGACAAAAAGTAAAAAAAAATTAAAAGTTCATAAAGTAAAAAAATTACAGCAAGCTAAAGTCAATTTATTATTGAATACAGAAAAATATTTTTATAAATGTATTATAGCCTGAGTACAGTGTTTATAAAATCTACAGTAGCATACAGCAACGTCCTAGACATTCATATTCACTCACTTCTCATTCACTGACTCACCCAAAGTAACTTCCAGTCCTGCAAGCTTCATACATGGTAAGTGACTTATACAGCTATACAATTTTTTGTCTATTGTACTGTACATTACTATACCTTTTCTATGTTTAGATACACAAATCCTTACCATTATGTTACAATTTCCTACAGTATTCAGTACAATAACATGCTATACAGCTTTGTAGCCTAGGAGTAACAGGCTATACTATATAGCCTAAGTGTGTAGTAGGCCACACTATCCAGCTTTATGTAAGTACCCTTTATAATATTTATAATATTTGCACAACGAAGTCACCTAACAATGCATTTCTCAGAATGCATCTCCTTCATTAAGGAACATGTAACTGTGGTTGAACTGAAAAGCACCATCAATCAACTGGATCTAACTGACATTTATAGAATGCTACATCTGACGACAGTAGAGTACATACTCTTCTCAAGCTCACAATGTCCATTCAACCAGATTGACCACATTATTGTCCATAAAACATGCAACAACAAATATAAAAGATGAGAAATCATATGATGTATGCACTCAGACCACAATGGAATTAAATTAGAAATCAATAACAGAAAGATAGCTGGAAATTCCCAAATGCTTGGAGGTTAAACAACAAACTTCTAAATAAAACACACTTACAGAAGAAGTTTCAAAATAAATGTAAAAATATTTGAACTAAATAAAAATGAAAATACAACTTATCAAAACATGTAAGCAGAGAAAGCAGTGCTTAGAGGAAAATTTATACTATTGAATGCATATATTAGAAAAGAATAAAGAACTAAAATCAATAAGCTATGATTTCACCTTAGAAAACTAGAGAAAAAAATATATAAGCTTTAAACAGGGAGAAATAATAAAAATTAGAAGCAGAAATCAATGAAATTGAAAACAGCAAAAGTATAGAGAAATTAACAAAACTAAAACCTGATTCTTTGAAAATATCAACAAAATTTATAAACCTGTAGCCAGGCTAACGAAGAATAAAAAAAGATATAAATTACTAATATCATAAATGAAAGAGGTGTCATCATTATTGTTCCACTGGACAACAAAATGATAATAAAGAAATATTACCAACAATTCTATGCCCACAAATCTGATAACATAAATGAAATGGACCAATTTCTTAAATCTAGCAAAATTCACACAAGAAGAAATAGATAATCTGAATAGTTCTATGACTGTTAAATAAATTTATTTAATAATTAATAACCTTCCAGAATAGAAAGTGCTAAGCCTAAATGGTTTCACTGGTGACTTCTCCCAAATATTTGAAGACAAAATGATACCAATTCTGTATAATACCTTTCCAGAAACAAAAGTAGAAAGAATACTCATTCAGTGAAGCCAGCATTACCCTAATACTAAAACCATATAAGAACACTAAAAGAAAGGAAAACTGCAGAACAGTGTCTTTCATGAACATACGCGCAAAAATTCTTAACAAAATCTTAGCAAATTAAATCTAACTAGGTGTAAAGAGAATAATACACCACAACCAAGTAGAATTTATTTCAAGTATTCAAGGCTAGATCAGGATTTCAATTATTAGTTAATAGAATTTATCAACAAGCTACAGAAGAAAAATTAATGATTACATAAATAGATACAGAAAACTCATTTGCCAAAATCTAACATCCATTCACAATAAAAATTCTCAGCAAACTAGGAATAGAGGGGAACTTCCCAACTTAATAAAGAAGAAAAACCTACAGCTAACATCATACTTAATGGTAACAAACCAGATAATTTGTCACTAAAATCCGGAAAAAGGTAAGGATGTTCCTTCTCACCACGCCTACTGAATATCATACTGGAAGTCCTAGCTAATGCAATATGACCAGAAAAGAAAATCAAAAAGAAAAAAATTTTTACAAATTAGGGAGGGAGAAATAAAATTGTCTTTCTCACAGGTAGCATAATTGTTTATGTAGAAAAATCTCCTCAAACAATCAATTAAAAAAAGAAACTCCTGGAATTAATATGTAATTAAAGGAAAGTTGCTGGGCAGCAGGTTAATTTATAAAAGTCAATTACTTTTCTATATAAAAGCAATAAGCAATTTTTAAATTAAAAGCATAATATCATTTATATTAGCACCAAACAAAATGAAGTGCTTTGGAATATATCTACCAAAATATATATAACATCTATACAAGCAAAATTACAAAACTCGGATGAGAGAAATCAAATAAGATATAAATAAATGATAAATATTTTATGTTCACACATAGGATGAATCTATTTTGTTAAGATGTCGGTTCTTTGCAACTTGACCTATAGATTCAAAGCAATCTCAATCATAATATCCGCAAATTATTTTGTGGATATTAACAAAGTGATTCTAAAATTTATATGAACAAGAGATCCAGAATAGCCTACACCTTGCTGAGAAAGAACAAAGGCCAAGGACTGATGCTACACAACTTCAAAACTTACTATAAATTACATTAATCATGACAGTGTGGTATTGGTGAAATAATAGACAAATAGATCAATGGAACAGAAGAGACAGCCCTCCCCACCTCCTGCCCCTGCCCCACACACAAACATGCAAATAGAGTCAAATGATCTTTGACAAAGAAGGTAATTGAATGGAAAAATGATAAAGGATCTGCCCTATATTCAGTCCACAGAAGCCAGATTTAAGGTGTGTTCTGGGTTCTGCGGATGCTTATGGACATGCAGTGGCACAACAACCCAGCTGGCCTGACAGCAAACAGATGCTGGGTCTGCCATGGTTTTCTCAAACATGTACATACATCAGAATCATCTGGAGTAACGGATTCAGCAGGTCTGGGGCAGAACCCAATAATTCAGATTTCTAACTAGTTCCCTGGAGATACTGATGGTACCAGGACAAATGGTGCTGAAATAACTGGATATTCACATGCAAAAAAATAAATCTAGACACTAAACTTATTTTATTCACAAACATTAATTCCAAATGGATCATAGACCTCAGTATAAAACATAAAACCTTAAACTTCCAGAATATAATGTAGGAAAAACTCTAGGTGACTTGGGTTTGGTGGTGAGTTTTTAGATAAAACATCAAAAGAATAATCCATGAAAGAAAAAAATAGATAACATGGACTTTGCAAAAATTAAAAACTTCTGCCTTGCAGGAGAGACTGTTAGAAGGAAAAGGCAAGCCACTGACTGGGATAAAATATTTGCAAAACACATCTGAAAATATTTTTTAAACATTCTGTATCCAAAATATACAAAGAAAAACTAGAGAGAGAGAGAGAGAGAGAGAGAGAGAGAGAGCTGTTAAAACTCAATGTTAAGAAAACAACCTTTTTTTTTTTTTTTTTTTTTTTTGAGATGGAGTCTGACTCTGTCACCCAGGCTGGAGTGCGATCTCAGCTCACTGCAACCTACACCTCCTGGGTTCAAGCAATTCTCCTGCCTAATTTTTTTTTAATACTATAAGCTCAAGGGTACATGTGCACCACATGCAGCTTTGTTACATGCGTATACATGTGCCATGTTGGTTTGCTGCACCCATTAACTCACCATTTACATTAGGTATTTCTCCTAATGCTATCCCTCCCCCTGCCCCCCACCCCACGACAGGCCCTGGTGTGTGATGTTCCCCGCCCTGCGTCCAAGTGTTCTCATTGTTCAATTCCCACCTATGAGTGAGAAGGTGTGGTGTTTGGTTTTCTGTCCTTAATGATATTTTGCTTAGAATGATGGTTTTGAGCTTCATCCATGTCCCTGCAAAGGACATTAACTCATCCCTTTTTATGGCTGCATAGCATTCCATGGCGTATATGTGCCACATTTTCTTAATCCAGTCTATCATTGAAGGACATCTGGGTTGGTTCCAAGTTTTTGCTATTGTGAATAGTGCCGCAATAAACATATGTATGCGTGTGTCTTTACAGTAACATGATTTAGAATCCTTTGGGTATATACCCAGTAATGGGATGGCTGGGTCAAATGGTATTTCTAGTTCTAGATCCCTGAGGAATTGCCACACTGACTTCCACAATGGTTGAAGTAGTTTACAGTCCCACCAACAGTGTAAAAGTGTTCCTATTTGTCCACATCCTCTCCAGCACCTGTTGTTTCCTGACTTTTTTTTTTATTATACTTTAAGTTTTAGGATACATGTGCACAAAGTGCAGGTTTGTTACATATGTATACATGTGCCATGTTGGTGTGCTGTACCCATTAACTCGTCATTTAGCATTAGGTATATCTCCTAATGCTATCCCTCCCCCCTCCCCCAAACCCACAACAGTCCCCCATGTGTGATGTTCCCCTTCCTGTGTCCATGTGTTCTCATTGTTCAATTCCCACCTATGAGTGAGAACATGAGGTGTTTGGTTTTTTGTCCTTGTGATAGTTGGCTTAGAATGATGGTTTCCAGTTTCATCCATGTCCCTACAAAGGACATGAACTCATCATTTTTTATGGCTGCATAGTATTCCATGGTGTATATGTGCCACATTTTCTTAATCCCGTCTATCATTGTTGGACATTTGGGTTGGTTCCAAGTCTTTGCTATTGTGAATAGTGCCGCTATAAACATATGTGTGCATGTGTCTTTATAGCAGCATGATTTATAATCCTTTTGGGTATATACCCAGTGATGGGATGGCTGGGTCAAATGGTATTTCTAGTTCTAGATCCTGAGGAATTGCCACACTGACTCCCACAATGGTTGAACTACTTTACAGTCCCACCAACAGTGTAAAAGTGTTCCTATTTCTCCACATGCTCTCCAGCACCTGTTGTTTCCTGACTTTTTAATGATTGCCATTCTAACTGGTGTGAGTTTTTTTCTTGTAAATTTGTTTGAGTTCATTGTAGATTCTGGATATTAGCCCTTTGTCAGATGAGTAGGTTGCAAACATTTTCTCCCATTCTGTAGGTTGCCTGTTCACTCTGATGGTAGTTTCTTTTGCTGTGCAGAGGTTCTTTAGTTCAATTAGATCCCATTTGTCAATTTTGTCTTTTGTTGCCATTGCTTTTGGTGTTTTAGACATGAAGTCCTTGCCCATGCCTATGTCCTGGATGGTATTGCCTAGGTTTTCTTCTAGGGTTTTTATGGTTTTAGGTCTAACATTTAAGTCTTTAATCCATCTTGAATTAATTTTTGTATAAGGTGTAAGGAAGGGATCCAGTTTCAGCTTTCTACATATGGCTAACCAGTTTTCCCAGCACCATTTATTAAATAGGGAATCCTTTCCCCATTGCTTGTTTTTGTCAGGTTTGTCAAAGATCAGATAGTTGTAGATACGCGGCATTATTTCTGAGGGCTCTGTTCTGTTCCATTTATCTATATCTCTGTTTTGGTACCAGTACCATGCTGTTTTGGTTACTGTCGCCTTGTAGTATAGTTTGAAGTCAGGTAGCGTGATGATGCCTCCAGTTTTGTTCTTTTGGCTTAGGACTGACTTGGCGATGCGGGCACTTTTTTGGTTCCATATGAACTTATAGTAGTATTTTTTCCAAATCTGTGAAGAAAGTCATTGGTAGCTTGATGGGGATGGCATTGAATCTGTAAATTACCTTGGGCAGTATGGCCATTTTCACGATATTGATTCTTCCTACCCATGAGCATGGAATGTTCTTCCATTTGTTTGTATCCTCTTTTATTTCCTTGAGCAGTGGTTTGTAGTTCTCCTTGAAGAGGTCCTTCACATCCCTTGTAAGTTGGATTCCTAGGTATTTTATTCTCTTTGAAGCAATTGTGAATGGGAGTTCACTCATGATTTGGCTCTCTGTTTGTCTGTTATTGGTATATAAGAATGCTTGTGATTTTTGTACATTGATTTTGTATCCTGAGACTTTGCTGAAGTTGCTTATCAGCTTGTGGAGATTTGGGGCTGAGATGATGGGGTTTTCTAGATATACAATCATGTCATCTGCAAACAGGGACAATTTGACTTCCTCTTTTCCTAATTGAATACCCTTTATTTCCTTCTCCTGCCTGATTGCCCTGGCCAGAACTTCCAACACTGTGTTGAATAGGAGTGGTGAGAGAGGGCATCGCCGTCTTGTGCCCGTTTTCAAAGGGAATAACTGGAAGAATTTTTTATGGCTGCATAGTATTCCATGGTGTATATGTGCCAGCATTCAAAGAGAATGCTTCCAGTTTTTGTCCATTCAGTATGATATTGGCTGTGGATTTGTCATAAATAACTCTTATTATTTTGAGATATGGTCCATCAATACCTAGTTTATTGAGAGTTTTTAGCATGAAGAGCTGTTGAATTTTGTCGAAGGCCTTTTCTGCATCTATTGAGATAATTATGTGGTTTTTGTTTTTGATTCTGTTTATGTGATGGATTACGTTTATTGATTTGCATATGTTGAACCAGTCATGCATCCCAGGGATGAAGCCAACTTGATCGTGCTGGATAAGCTTTTTGATGTGCTGCTGGATTCGGTTTGCCAGTATTTTACTGAGAATTTTCGCATGGATGTTCATCAGGGATATTGGCCTAAAATTCTCTTTTTTTGTTGTGTCTCTGCCAGGCTTTGGTATCAGGATGATGTTGGCCTCATAAAATGAGTTAGGGAGGATTCCCTCTTTTTCTATTGACTAGAATAATTCAGAAGGAATGGTACCAGCTCCTCTTTTTACATCTGGTAGAATTCAGCTATGAATCCATCCGGTCCTGGACTTTTTTTGGTTGGTAGGCTCTTAATTATTGCCTCAATTTCAGAGCCTGTTATTGGTCTATTCAGAGATTCAACTTTTTCCTAGTTAAGTCTTGGGAGGCTGTATGTGTCCAGGAATTTATCCATTTCTTCTAGATTTTCTAGTTTATTTGTGCAGAGGTGTTTGTAGTATTCTCTGATGGTGGTTTGTATTTCTGTGGGATCAGTAGTGATATTCCTTTTATCATTTTTATTGCGTCTATTTAATTCTTCTCTCTTTTCTTCCTTATTAGTCTTGGTAGCGGTATATCAATTTTGTTGATCTTTTCAAAACACCAGCTCCTGGATTCATTGATTTTTTTGAAGGGTTTTTTGTGTCTCTATTTCCTTCAGTTCTGCTCTGATCTTAGTTATTTCTTGCCTTCTGCTGGCTTTTGAATGTGTTTGCTCTTGCTTCTCTAGTTCTTTTAGTTGTGATGTTAGGGTGTCAATTTTAGATCTTTCCTGCTTTCTCTTGTGGGCATTTAGTGCTATAAATTTCCCTCTACGCACTGCTTTAAATGTGTCCCAGAGATTCTGGTACGTTGTGTCTTTGTTCTCACTGGTTTCAAAGAACATATTTATTTCTGCCTTCATTTCGTTATTTACCCAGTAGTCATTCAGGAGCAGGTTGTTCAGTTTCCATGTAGTTGAGTGGTTTTGAGTGAATTTC
Organism: Homo sapiens; assembly: GCF_000001405.40. Lineage (NCBI taxonomy): Eukaryota > Metazoa > Chordata > Mammalia > Primates > Hominidae > Homo > Homo sapiens. The sequence continues at coordinate 84,729,982 of NC_000010.11, read as the reverse complement.
TTAATCCTGAGTTCTAATTTGTTTGCACTGTGGTCTGACAGGTAGTTTGTTGTGATTTCTGTTCTTTTACATTTGCTTAGGAGTGCTTTACTTCCAACTACGTGGTCACTTTTGGAATAAGTGCGATGTGGAATAGGTGCTGAGAAGAATGTATATTCTGTTGATTTGGGGTGGAGAGTTCTGTAGGTGTCTATTAGGTCCACCTGGTGCAGAGCTGAGTTCAAGTCCTGGATATCCTTGTTAAACTTCTGTCTCATTGATCTGTCTAATGTTGACAGTGGGGTGTTAAAGTCTCCCATTATTAATGTGTGGGAGTCTAAGTCTCTTTGTAGGTCTCTAAGGACTTGCTTTATGAATCTGGGTGCTCCTGTATTGGGTGCATATATATTTAGCATAGTTAGCTCTTCTTGTTGAATTGATCCGTTTACCATTATGTAATGGCCTTCTTTGTCTCTCTTGATCTTTGTTGGTGTAAAGTCTGTTTTATCAGAGACTAGGATTGCAACCCCTTTTTTTTTTTTTTTTTACTTTACGTTTGCTTGGTAGATCTTCCTCCATCCTTTTATTTTGAGCCTATGTGTGTCTCTGCACGTGAGATGGGTTTCCTGAATACAGCACACTGATGGGTCTTGACTCTTTATCCAATTTGCCAGTCTGTGTCTTTTAATTGGGGCATTTAGTCCATTTACATTTAAAGTTAATATTGTTATGTGTGAATTTGATCCTGTCATTATGATGTTCGTGGATTATTTTGCCTGTTAGTTGATACAGTTTCTTCCTAGCATCATTGGTCTTTACAATTTGGCATGTTTTTGCAGTGGCTGGTACCAGTTGTTCCTTTCCATGTTTAGTGCTTCATTCAGGAGCTCTTGTAAGGCAGGCCTGGTGGTGACAAAATCTCTCAGCATTTGCTTGTCTGTAAAGGATTTTATTTCTCCTTCACTTGTGAAGCTTAGTTTGGCTGGATATGAAATTCTGGGTTGAAAATTCTTTTCTTTAAGAATGTTGAATATTGGCCCCCACTCTCTTCTGGCTTGTAGAGTTTCTGCAGAGAGATCCACTGTTAGTCTGATGGGCTTCCCTTTGTGGGTAACCCGACCTTTCTCTCTGGCTGCCCTTAACATTTTTTCCTTCATCTGGGTGAATCTGACAATTATGTGTCTTGGAGTTGCTCTTCTCGAGGAGTATCGTTGTAGTGTTCTCTGTATTTCCTGAATTTGATTGTTTGCCTGCCTTGCTAGGTTGGGGAAGTTCCCCTGGATAATATCCTGCAGAGTGTTTTCCAGCTTGGTTCCATTCTCCCCATCTCTTTCAGGTATACCAATCAAACATAGATTTGGTCTTTTCACATAGTCCCATATTTCTTGGAGGCTTTGTTTGTTTCTTTTTACTCTTTTTTCTGTAAACTTCTCTTCTCACTTTATTTCATTAATTTGATCTTCAATCACCCTTCGATTCACCCTTTCTTGCACTTGATCTAATCAGCCATTGAAGCTTGTGCATGTGTCACATAGTTCTCATGCCATGGTTTTCAGCTCCATCAGGTCATTTAAGGTCTTCTCTACACTGTTTATTCTAGTTAGCCATTCGTCTAATCTTTTTTCAAGGTTTTTAGCTTCGTTGCAATGGTTTGAACATCCTCCTTTAGTTTGGAGAAGTTTGTTATTACTGACCTTCTGAAACCTACTTCTGTCAGCTTATCAAAGTCATTCTTCATCCAGCTTTGTTCCATTGCTGGCAAGGAGCTGCGATCCTTTGGAGGCAAAGAGGTGCTCTAGTTTTTAGAATTTTTAGCTTTTCTGCTCTGGTTTCTCCCCATCTTTGTGGTTATATCTACCTTTGGTCTTTGATGCTGTTGACCTACAGAAGGGGTTTTAGTATAGATGTTCTTTTTATTGATGTTGATGCTATTCCTTTCTGTTTGTTAGTTTTCCTTCTAACAGTCTGGTCCCTCAGCTGCAGGTCTTTTGGAGTTTGCTGGAGGTCCACTCCAGACCCTTTTTGCTTGGGTATCACTAGCGGAGGCTTCAGAACAGCAAATATTGCAGAACAACAAATATTGCTGCCTGATCCTTCCTCTGGAAGCTTTGTCCCAGAGGGTCACCTGCCCGTATGAGGTGTCAGTCGGCCCCTACTGGGAGGTGTCTCCCAGTTAGGCTACACATGGGTCAGATACCCACTTGAGGAGACAGTCTGTCCATTCTCAGAGCTCAAACATCGTGCTGGGAGAACCACTGCTCTCTTCAGGGTTGTCATCAGGGACTTTTAAGTCTGCAGAAGTTTCTGCTGTCTTTTGTTCTGCTATGCCCTTCCCCAAGAGGTGGAGTCTACGGAGGGCCTTGCTGAGCTGCGGTGGGCTCCACCCAGTTTCAGCTTCCTTGGCTACTTTGTTTACCTACTCAAGCCTCAGCAATAGCGGATACCCCTCCCCCTGCCAGGCTGCTGCCTCACAGGTTAATCTCAGACTGCTGCGCTAGCAGTGAGCAAGGCTCCATGGGCATGGGACCCACCAAGCCAGTTGCAGGATATCATCTCCTGGTGTGCCATTTGCTAAGACTGTTGGAAAAGCACAGTATTAGGGTGGAAGTGTCCCGATTTTCCAGGTACAGTCTGTCACGGCTTCCCTTGGCTAGGAAAGGAAAATCCCCTGACCCCTGTGCTTCCCAGATGAGGCAATGCCCCGCCCTGCTGCAACTCGCCCTCCATGGGCTGCACCCACTGTCCAACCAGTCCCAATGAGATGAATCAGGTACCTCAGCTGGAAATGCAGAAATCACTGTCTCCTGCGTCAATCACGCTGGGAGCTGCAGTTCCTATTCGGGCTTCTTGGAAGGGGCTTTTTTCTCTCCTGCCTAATTTAAAAATTGACAAATGATCTGAACAGGCATTTCAACAAAGATGATATACAGATGGCAAATAAGTATATAAAAAGATGTACAACATCCTATATGATTAGGTAATTGCAATGAGATACTACTACACACCTATTAAGATGGCTAAAATTCAAAAAAAAAAACAAAAAACCAACACAATACCAAATGATAGTACCAATGTGGAGCAATAGGAACAGAAACTTCTCATTCATTTGATGGGAATTCAAAATGGTATAATCACACTGGAAGACAGTTTGGCAGTGTCTTACAAAGCTAAAAGACTTACCGTACAATTTAATCTTTGCACTCCAAGGTATTTCCCCTAATGAGTTGAAAACTTATGTCCACACAAAAACCTGCACGTGAACATTTATAGTAGCTTTATTCATAATTTTCAAAATCTAGAAGTAATCAAATGGACCTTAAAAAGATGAATGGGATATATACACATATTATATATCCATGGTAATTAAAAATTAATATTTTTCAAACATGAATGGATAAACAAACTATTATACATTCATACAATAGAATCTGATTCAATAATAAAAATGAACTATCAAATCACAAAATGGCATGGAGGAATCTTAAATGCATATTGCTTAGTGAAAGAATCAGTCTGAAAAGACTATATATTATACATTTCCAACTATATGGCATTCTGGAAAAGGCAAAACCTATAGGCACTGAGAAGATCAGTAAATACCAGGGATTGTCGAAAAGAGGGAGAGGGATGAATAGGTAGAGCACAGGGAATTTTTAGGACTCTGAAACTATCCTGTATGACACTGTCATGGTGGATGCATGACATTACGTATTTGTCAAAACCTATAGAATGTACAACACAAAGTGAACCCTAATATAACCCATAGGCTTTATTTAAGAATAATGTATCAATATTGGCTAATCATTTGTAACAGATGTATCACTGTAATGCAAGATGCTAATACCAGGGGAAACTGTGAGGTGGGATGGGAGTATATGGAACCTCTTTGTATTATTTGCTCAATTTTCTATATACTTAAAAACTGCTTTGAAAAAAATTCTATTAATTAAAAAAGAAAAACATAGACAGTGAGAAAATACTTGCAAATTAGAGATTTGATAAAGAACTGAATCTAGAAAACATAAGGAACTCTCAAAACTCAATAGTAAGAAATTAAATAGCACAGTAAAAAGGGAGGAGGTATTTAAACAGATAAGTCACTAAAATAGATATTCAAATGGCAAATGAAAATATGAAAGGATGCTCAACATTATTCATCATTAGAAAAATTTGAATTAAAGCAACAATAACATCCCACTACACAACCCATTAGGATGGCTAATATTTACCAGAAAGAAAATGACAATACCAAATTCTGGGAAGAATATAAAGCAACTAGAACACATATGCACCATTAGTGGAAATCCAAAATGACACAGCCACTTTAGAAAATGGTTTGGCCATTTCTTTTAAAATGAAACACATTTGATAAACAGCCTTGCAATTTCATCCTTAGATATTTACCCAAGAGAAATGAAAACATATATTCATAGAAAAACTGGTAACAAGGGTTTATAGTGGCTTCATTCATAATCACCAAAACCAGGAAATGCCCAAAAGTCTTTAAAGAGGAAAATGCACAAACAAACAGTGGTTCATTATATAATGGAATGCATCAATTTAATGGAATACAATGCCTACTAAAAAGGATTCATCTATGTCTGATAAACATGACATAGATGAATCTCAAATGTATTATGCTACCTGATTAAAAAAACAAGCTCAAAAGATTATATACAGAGTGATTCCATTTATTACCCTTTTTAAAGTCAAAAATACCTACAGAAAACAGATCGCTGATTGTCAGGATATGGAGGTATGGGGAGAAATTGACTATGAGGTGACAGAAATGTTCTTTATATTGATTTTATTGGGCACAGGATAACTTCTTGAGGTAATAAAAATGTTCCTTATCTTGGTTTTATTGGCGGCTACACAACTGCATGCATTTTTCAAAACTCTTAGAAGTTTAGAAGGAAGAATTTGAATTTAATGTAGACACTTTCCCTTAGTAAATCTGATTTTAAAATATATGCTTAGACAAATCCTGAAGGAGACCACATCTGCTCAACTGGATGGGAAGTCCTCTCTTTACAGGCATTCTCCTGTAGACACACCTCCATGTCTACCATTGTCCACCTTTTGTGCATTGCACTTTGACTTTTCCATACATGTCCAGAGAGCAGCTCCTTCAGGGCTCTAGTGAGCCTCTCTTCCTTAGAAGAAACTTAGGAGAGGAAAGAGAGTGAGATGAACCACAGGCTTCATTGCTAGAGGTGGTATTCAGGTTGCAATTGGTATTCATCATCTCCCTTCTGTACTATCCATTCTAAATTCTTTCTGCCCTCAATGTTGAGGTGATAACTTTGCAGATCAGAATCAATTACAAAACAAGGACTCCCTTCTTGCCTGCTGATTTCTGGACACAGTTAACCCAGTGGGTCCATACAGCGTCCATAAATTTTAGTTCAATTGTACCCTTGCTGGTGAACATGTATCTTTCTGGGGGACAGAGGCCTCTAACTCTGCAAAGCTCAGAGCTGCACATAGAAATCACAAATTCCTCCACTGAGACATTAGCAATGGTGTCATGTAGGGCCTCTCCTGCTTCCACCCCTTGTTTCTCTGACTTATCTGTTGTTCCTGTTGAGGACACAGCATTGCATAAAATTCTCTGTTTCAATGCATGTACCACTTTCTGAAGAATGGTACTCCATCTTTGCAGAGTATTTTTCTTGAACAGTGATTCATCTGTGCCTTCAGCAGGCCATTCCAACAATCTATCAGGATGAAAGCTTCTGAGTGATGATGTATCCAGTACAACTGGTAGATCCCAAGGTCAGTGGTCTACTCCCACACCTCCTTGACTAGAAAGTTGGTTCCCTGGTCAAATGCTGTGTTATATGAAATTCTATCGATAATTATCTAAGGTTTGCGAGTTGGAAAGACGATCCTTAGATATCCACTCTTGAGAGGATAAAACTCCAGCTCTTCCAGAATAGAAGGGAACAATATAGTCAACTTACCACCAAGTGGAAAATGAATCTCTTCAAAGAATACCATCATCCCAGGAGCAGAGCATAGGTTCTCTTGCTGGCAGGTAGGACATCCAGAGGAGAGTTTCTTGACTGGCCATTTTAAATCTTAGTCCATGACACTTTATCTAGCCTCCATGTCTCTGTCATTGTGGCCACTTCATTCTCACAACACAACTCTGACACCAGATGTGTGTGAGTTTTTTCCCATATATTATGGAAGCAATTAATTCTGCAGCAGAACACCAGCTGGGTCCTCTCCAATTCATTACCAATACTATCTACCTGGAGATAGCATCAGATCTCTTAGAGGTTGAGGGATCTTTCCCCAAACTGCCTCCTACTTCCAACACCAATCACAAGCCCGCCCCAAGTTGTTTTACCTGTGCTTCTGACCAACTGACTATAAATCAAGATTCCCATGACTTTCTTAGTATTTGAGTAATTTGCAAGAGCGGCACACAGAACTCAGGGAAGCACTTACACTTACTTGTCTATCATAAAGTGTATTTTAAGGGATAAAAATGAACAGCCAGATGAAGAGATACACAAGGTGAGGTCTGGAAGGGTCCCAAGAAAAGGACCTTTCATCCCAACGGAGTTGACGTGTGAACACTCTCCTGATGCGTGGAGATGTTCTTGTTCACCTTCCTAGAAGCTCCTTGAATTCAGTCCTTTAAAGTTGTTATAGAGGCTTCATTATGCAGGCATGATTAATTGAATCATCATCCATTGGTGGTCAGTTCAGCCTTCAGCCCCTTTTCTCCTCCCCTGAGGTGAGGATGGTGCTATGAGTTCCAATCCTTTTAGCACATTGTGCATGGCAACCCACCTACAAACCTATGGTTATCTAGGAAATTTGCAAAACTCACCTCATTAACATAAACTCAGATGTGGTTGAAAGAGGTTTGTTAGAAACAGTAAAAGACTATATCTCACCTATATTGCTCTGCAGCTGTTCTGGAGCTGTCTCAAGAACCCAGGAAAAAAGGCAATATTTTAACAAAAGATATTCTTTTTTTTTTTGAGATGAAGTTTTGCTCTCCTTCCTCTGGCTGGAGTGCAATGGTGCAATCTCAGCTCACTGCAATCTCTGCCTCCCCAGTTCAAGCAATTCTTCTCCCTCAGCCTCCCAAGTAGCTGGCATTACAGGGATGCACCACCATGCCTGACTAATTTTGTATTTTTAGTAGAGACAGGGTTCCACCATGTTGGCCAGTTTGGTCGCGAACTCCTGACCTCAGGTGATCCACCTGCCTCGGCCCCCCAAAGTGCTGGGATTACAGGCATGAGCCACCATGCCTGGCAACAAAAGATACTCTTATTTCTCTAATCACCTAGGAAAATATGAGGGTTATAGGAGCTGTAAGCCAGAAACCGCTGATGAAAATCAAAAAATTTATATCTTGATATCACAAAGGTAATTATTAATAGGTAAGAACTTACTACTGCCATTTTGTTCATTGTTTCCTGGTTGTTTTGTAGATCCTTTTTTTCTTTTCTTTTCTTGCTGTCTTTCTTTATGATTAAGTGATTTTCTCTAGGGGTATGCTTGGAATCCTGACATTTTACCTTTTGTCTATCCACTGTAGGTCTTTGCTTTGTGGCTACCATGAGGCTTACAAAAAACATCTGATAGAACAGGCTATTTTAGTCTGATAACAACTTAACTTTCATGGCATAAAAAAAGCTCTGCACTTTTACACCACTCTCCTGAACTTCAAATGTTTGATGATACAATTTACATTTTATGTTGTGTATTTCTTAACAAATTATTGTAGCTATTGTTATTTTTAATTGTTCTGTCTTTTAACCTTCAAACTAAGAGAGAGATGTGACCTGATGACCTTTTAAGAGTCTGGGTACAGCTTGTCTTGCTTTCACTCAGTTTTAAAGTGGCTCTTTTTTCCCCGAATAACACATTCTCACCTACTTCTCAGGATGGTTGGATACCTTTTCTTCAATGATATAACAGAACAAACATGTGAGACTCTTTATCTATTATAATGTTTCTTGTTATTTCTTATCTAAATTATAACTCTATAGTAAATTTTTTTAGTCTTTTCTCAAAGAGAAGCCCCTAAGGGTTTCTCTCTGTTCTTCTACTTAACAGTGGAAATTCATGGAGTTATTCAGGATTTACTGTTTAAGCTATAACGATCCAAAATCAGAACAGAGCCAGAATTAAGTTATGTAATATCTTTCATCACCCTGGTTTTCCTTATCTATTAGTGACCCAGTAATTACCTGGGTTTCAGAAAATTATCTTAAAATAACCAGAAATACTTTATCTCAGAATTATTTTGTATTTCCCCTTTTAGGTGTATAGTAATAATATAATTTGAAGTGTTTTTCTCTCCATTGATCTCAGATATAGAGGAGGAACAAAAGTGCTAAGATATTGATTTGTCTGTCATAATATGTGAAGGGCCCATTACCCTCCTCTTCAGTTCCACTTGCGGTAGAGCTCAGCTCCCCTTTGCCCTCCCTCAGTCACTTTGCCTTCCTCGGGAATGTGCATGTTTCATAAGACCTGGCCCATCCTCAGGACTTTAAACCAAGGCAAGATCAGGATTAGTGCCAGGGGCCACTAATGAAGGCATGATCCCCCACCCAGGAAGGTGTGGAGTCAGCCGGGGTTGGAGGTGACTCAGTGCCTCAGTCTGTTTGGGCTACTATAGCACAAATATCATAAACTGGATCACTTATAAAGCAACACAAATTTTTTCCTCACAGTTCTAGAGGCTGCGAAGTCCAGGATCAAAGTGCCAGCAGATTCAGCATCTAGCAAGAGCCTGCTTCCTGGTTTATTAACGGCATCTCATTGTGTTCTCAAATGGCAGAAGGGGCAAAGCAGCTGAGATCTCTTTTCTAGGGGCACTAATATTCTCTAGTGCTCTTTTATAAGGGCACTAATCCTATTGATAATGGCATTGCCCTTGTGACTAATTACTTCCCACATTGGTGACTAGGTTTCAACATATTAATTTTGAGGTGATACAAACATACAGAACATAGCACTCAGAAATCCAACCTGCCCCTTCTCTAGGGAACACCAGTCCTAAAATTTCACAATAGTGACTTTAGAAAGATTAATGCTGTTTCCACTGGCTCCCAACGTTTAACCTTGGATTCTCAAGAGTTTCTATAGGAATGCTTTGGCATTGATTGCCCCTAACCCAATTGACTGTACATTGCAGAGGAACCACCTCCTTGCTTTCTGGGGCATTCCCAGCCTAAGAGCCTCATTCAGGAATAGGAGGAAACAGTCCAGTATGCTCCACACTTCTGGGCATATTTTTTCAAAAATATTGGTTTTTTTTTATTGTCTCCCTTGTGGGCATCAGGGCCGGACATTAACATCCCCCATTGAGCCCCCAGTTAAGGCGGAATGGAGCATGAATGAAAGCTTGGGGGTGCTAAACATTCTGCTGAGTGCATCACTAACATTTTCACACTTACTCCTCACAATGACTCTGTGAGGCAGATTATCCCTAATTTATAAATGAACAAAGGCTTAGCATAATGATCGTAAATTCATTCATGAGTGACAGAGCAGCAATCCAAGCATGGGCACAACTAACCCGAAATCCATGCCTTTGCATTTATCAGCCAATAAGTATTTATATTTCTTTCTAAGGCCAGACATCGTTAGAATAATAATAAACCAGATGAACCTAGTGCCTGCACTGGCCTCAGGAAGTCCGCTGGAGAAGGTAGAAAAAAGAGGAAAGGCATAATTTTGATATGAGGACAGGTGGAGCCCAAGGAAGTTGGCTTTCAAGTTGGATTTTAAAACAAACTTTCGTTGAGGTATCATTCACATACCATAAGTTGCACATGTTCAAAATATAGTTTGATAAGTTTTGACAAGTGTTCACTCCCATGAAACCAACACCACATCACAATTATGAACATATTCAACATCTCAACATCCTCCAAAGTTTCTTCTTGCTCCTTTATAATTTATTCCTCCATCCCTTTCCTGGTCCCTGTCATTCCCAGCCTTCTGTCATAGTAGCTTAGTCTGCATTTTCTATAACTTTATCTAATTAGAATCACAGACTATGTACTCTCTTTTTGTCTGGCTTCCTTCACTCAACATAATTACTTTGCAATTCATCCATGCTGTCCCGTGGATCAGTAGTTTATTCATTGCTATTGCTAAGTAGTATTCCATTGTATGGGTGTACCCCATTTTGTTTACACACTTATCTATTGATGAATATTTGGATTGTTTCCAGTTTGGGGTTATTACAAATAAAGGTACTGTTGGACATTTATGTATGTTAGAGTGAGATGAACCCAGGAAGCTAGAGGTGAATTCTCCATTCTCAAGAACTGTGATCAGGAGGAGGCCTGGCCATTGTTTAATCACTTCCCCCAGGTCTCATCCTATACTATTTTCAGTTAACTCATATCTGCCTCTGAGCCAGAGCACCCAACATGTGTTGTTGTGAAGGCTCTGCCAGTTAACACAGCCACCAATTCCCATGGTGTGGTGGTTCATTTTATGTGTCAACTTGGCTGGACTAAGGAATTCCCAACAGCTGGTAAAACATTATTCCTGGGTGTGTCTATGAGGGTGTTTTTGGAAGAGATTAGCATTTGCATTGGTAGACTGAGAAGATCCACCCTCATTAATATGAATGAGCATCATCCATTCTGTCGAGAGTCTGAATAGAACAGAAAGGTAGAGGAATGTCAGCTTCAGTCTCTCTGCTTGAGCTGAGATATCCATCTTCTCTTGCCTGAAGACATGGGTGCTCCTTGTTCTCAAGCTTCAGATTTGGACTGAATTACACCAGCAGCTTTTCTGGGTCTGTGGTTTACAGACAGCAGATCATGGGATTTCTTAGTCTCCATAACCACAAGAGACAATTCCTGCAATAAACCTCCCCATATGTATATCTGTATATATCCTATTGGCTCTGTTTCTCTGGGGACCTCTGATGAATACATGTGGTGGTGCACATTTATGCATCATAGTTTCCTTTCTACCATCTCACGGATACTCATATGGACACCTCCCATCAAGAGCACGAATCCAAATCAAAGCAGAGTCAACATCCAGTCACTTCTGTGGGCAGGATCAGGGCAGTCAGAGGCCAAAGCCAAGCAAAATGTCAGTCCCAAGATGGGAGAGCTGGCTGTCGGTGTCAGGGGCTTCTCCAGTGGGCCTCAGCACTAAGTCTAATGGTTTTGATCAAGAGTGGAGTGTACACCCCAGATTCTGCTCCCGCCTGCCACATACATGTCCTGGGAATTCAGTGAGCAGGCACTGCAATAATCTTCAACAACAGAGACTTGCCAGAAAGCACAGAGGAAGTTCTCCACAGCCCCACTTCCCACCTAGATGTTCCATAACTGTCATCTGTCAAACTAGCTTCCTTGGAAGCCAGAACAAGTCTTCACATCCTCAAAGATAAGAATCTGAATTTAAAAAAAAAATTCTTTCTCATAGTTCACCTAGCATTCATTGTCCCCAAGAGAGCAGATTCGATCAGATCTGATGCCTACTACTCCACCAGAAGCATCAAAATTTCAGCTCACCCATCATTTTAGAGTTGGTAGGCCTGCCTTCTGCTCATCCCATACATGGCTTCTTTCATGTTCATTTTACATATCGTCAGTCCCTGGTTTGACAAGCTGATACAGTACAATGCCATTGATTTTAATAATAAATCATGCAAACAGCATATGAGAAAAGAGCTTGTTGAGAGCAATTCTGCAAAAGCTGGCTCTGTACTAGTCACGTAGGCATTTGAGTTTCATGGACTCTACTCTCTTTCTACACAACCCTCTCTGAATACGGTTGCTCCAAAGGTCTAAGGTTGAGCTGCAAGGAGTGGGCAAGTTAGTTCAGCTACCAGGAATGGAGAAATAGAGACATAGCTTCTCTCATGTTCTATGAGAGAACATGAGAACAACTTGAAAGGGAGCTGGTTTCACACTTAAATTTCAGCATGTATCTACACTTGACAGCAGTGTCATACACTCCTTCACATGTGGAAGAAACTGACTCAGTGCCACAGGGACTTCATTTTCAGACATGCCAAGTAGCAGGCATGTCTCAGTGAGAGGTAGAAAGAATTGCACAGGCGTTAGTGTTGCCTTTCTGGAATTTTATTGCTGCTACCCTTCATGCTAGCCATATAACTTTGGGCAAGATATATATCATCTCTGATTCTTCAGAAAGATAAAAACAACAGCATTTACTCAAAGACTCTGAAGATTACATGAGATAGCATGCAAAGTGCCTACTAAGGGGCCTGGCATCAGCAGGTGCTGGCTGCCTATGAATTTTCCTCCCCGCTACCATTCATCCTCTTCTCAGTTCTCATATATCTAAGCTGGAATCAGCCTAATGATATATTCCTATTGTCTTGACTATGAAAAGAAAAATGTTAAAAAAAAAAAAAGTAGGACATGCTGGGCACACTTGATGCTCTGCACCACACAGCTTGTTTACACACCCACAAGCCCAGCCGGGGTTGGGAAGAGCCGCTCAGGCCCCTCTTCCATTGGGCCTGGCACCATAGATTGCCCCAAGATGCATTACACCAACAAGCAGCCTGCTTAGGGAGGCAGAGCCATAAGATCAATGCTAGCAATGGGCAAGAATAATAGGCTTTCATCAACTCCTGATGACGCAGGGCTGAGAAGGACTCTGGAAATGCTGTACATCTATGTACAAGGGCAGGGAGGTCAAAGGTGACTCTGAACAGCTGACCTACCTTGATCATGCCAAACAGATTATAGGCAAAGTGAGAGGTTATTTTCCATGCTTGCTATGTTGACAATATCAAGGAATTCAGGAAGCACACAAAGAAGGGTGAGAGGTTATTTTCTATGCTTGCTCTGTTGACCATATCAAGGAATTCAGGAGGCACACGAAGAAAGGTGAGAGACACTTAGCAGTGAGAGGAGATCACCCTCAGTTTCCTTGCATTTTTCCCTCATTTCAGTTCTGCTGTCTTTCCCTAACCAGCCACTAACCTCCCTCTCTTTCCATTCACACTTATGTTTCTCTTAGCAGGGGTCAGCAAGCTATGGCCCATGGGCCAAATTCAGCCCACCACCTTATTTTGTAAATAAAGCTATGCCCATTCATTTCTCCATTATCTATGCCTACTTCTGGCTACAATGCTGGCGTTCAGTAGTGGCGACAGAGACCTTATGGCCTGCAAAGCCTTAAATATTTACTATATGGCCCATTATAGGGAAATGTTTGCTGATCCCTTCCCTTGGAAATAGACTACACAAGCTAAACTCAATCTGTGTCCCATACATTGTAGAACACTATAATCCTTGGAGTTGAATTAGTGTAATATTTAAAATAAAAAAAGAGACTCAAAGTTTAATAAGCTTAGGGCTCTCTGGATTATGCAGAGGCTTTTTCTGTAAAAATTCTTAGAAACTATATTATGCAGGCCGGGCGCGGTGGCTCACGCCTGTAATCCCAGCACTTTGGGAGGCCGAGGCGGGTGGATCATGAGGTCAGGAGATCGAGACCATCCTGGCTAACAAGGTGAAACCCCGTCTCTACTAAAAATACAAAAAATTAGCCGGGCGCGGTGGCGGGCGCCTGTAGTCCCAGCTACTCGGGAGGCTGAGGCAGGAGAATGGCGTGAACCCGGGAAGCGGAGCTTGCAGTGAGCCGAGATTGCGCCACTGCAGTCCGCAGTCCGGCCTGGGCGACAGAGCGAGACTCCGTCTCAAAAAAAAAAAAAAAAAAAAGAAACTATATTATGCTTACACACACTGTGAATCTCTAAAGGAAGGGGTGTTATGGCCTGCATGTAAAAGCTTCATTTTCAAAAGAAATGAGCCTGAGGCAGAAGATTTCTGCACTATTTAGGAAGACTTATGTGCCTTGTTAGGAAGTACAATCCCAAGGAGCATGACAGGGACAAGGCGGGGGAAGCAGAGAGGGAAAATGAGGCTGCACTGCCAAGTTGGCTGCCACTAGGGGGCAGATGCTGGCTCCTGTGTACACCACGTTGCAGGATTGTGTGTAATGCAGGAATCAGGGGGAAATGTATCCAACAACCTGTGGGAACCAGAGAAGAGACCCATGGTGACAGCAGGCAGCATCAGGTACAGGTGCATGCTTGAGGTGAGGTGCTGTTGGGTTGCACCTGCCTGCAGTCAAAACCCATGCAGAGCTTTTGGCCAGCGATGCAGCTCCAATAAGCAAGGGTAGGGAAGAAAACATCCAATGTTGTGCAAATGCGTTCTGATACCAAGAAACACAGAATGCTGGGCTTCCTAGAGCTACTGACTATAGAGTCATCTTTCCCATGAATAGACAACATGTCAAAGGGCACTTACAATCCGCACAATGGTCTAAGATTTACCAGGCTGCACTTCCCCACTTCCCCGTATAACCCACATCCTGAAACCTGCCCTTCTTTTTCTCATACCACCATTGACCCATCCCTAACCAGCCACTAACCTCCCTCTCTCTTTACAGTCACAGTTATGTTTCTCTTAGCAAGGGTCAGAAAATATAGCCCATGGGCCTAAGTTAGACCAGCACCCTTTTTCTCATACCATCACTGACCCATCCCAAAACCCCTCCAACCCTGTGACCTCTTCTCAACATCAACCTCCCGCCAGGAGAGCAACTGAGCACAATGGAAATAATACACAACTTGGGATCAGAAACCCATGTTTGAAAACTGGCTCTCCACTAACCAGCTGGGGAAGCGCCATCACATTACTCAATTTCTACCAACTTCAGTTTCTTCAACTCAAAAAGGGACTGACAGCACAGGATGATATGAGGAATTACGAAGTAACTCATGTAAAGGGTTACCCACAATAGTTACACATGACATTGTAGCTATTCTTTTTTTATTATTATTACTGCATCTTTTGACATTGTTGGCCTTGCATTTTCAAGAACTTCTCTCATCCCCCAGTTTCCCTGCTGTCCCTCAAATTCTTCCTTACCTCTTCTATTTTTCTAAGTCACATTCTGCTATGAGCTGAATTGGGTCCCCCCTCCCCTAATATGAGTTAGGGGAGGGGGTACACAATTCAAGTCCCAACCTCCAATGTGATTGTGTTTGAAGATAGCAACTTTATGGAGATAGTCAAGGTTAAATGAGGTAATAAGGGTGGGGCCCTGATCAGATGCGGTTAGTGTTCCTATGAGAAGAGACACCAGAGAGCTCTTTCTCTCCCACTTTCTCTTTCTTCCTGCTTCTCCCTCCATCTCCTTGTTTGCACACAACAAAAACAGGCCACATGATGATGCAATGAGAAGGTGGCCATCTGCAAGCCAAGAAAAGAGTCCTCAACAGAGCCTGACCCTGTGGACCTTGATTTTTGGACTTTCAGCCTCCAGAGCTGTGAAACAAGACACTCTTGTTGTTTATGCTGCTGTCCAGTATTTGGTATTTTGTTATGGCAGCCCAAGCAGAGTAATACACCTTCCCTCTCTCCTCTTCCTCTTTCTACTTTGAAATGGAGAAGTTCATCAAGGTACTAATGCCCTAGACTTCATTCCCAATCTCCCCTCCAATTCTAATCTCATTCCCGCCATTGACTTCACCTGTCACTCACAAATCCATATCTCCAACTCTGACCTCTCCTATGAACACCTGGAACCAAATTTTCAAAATCTCTGTTTGACATCACCACTTGAGTATCCCACAGGCACAGCAAACTCATAACATCTAAAACTGAACTCATCGTACTCTCCCTGAGAGCCCTTCAATACCTTTTTCTGTCTGTCAAAACCTTTGTACAACAAGAAAAGACATAAAGAGAAGTGGATAGTTGAATAGAAGGATGAAAAGATAAACAGGCATATAAAATTAAAGCCATCATTTGAGCACTTAACCTATGTGTCATATACTGTGCAAAAATATTTACATGCATCAGTTTGTTTTATTTGTATAATCTCTCCTGTTTTACAGATAAGGAAACTGAAGAAAGGGTATCTTAGTCCATTCTTGCACTGCTATAAAGAAATTCCTGAAACTGGGTAATTGATAAAGATAATAGTTTTAATTGGCTCATGGTTCCATAGGCTGTATGGGAAGCATGGCTGAGGATGCCTTAGGAAACTTATAATCACGGCAGAAGGGAAAGGGGAAGGAGGCACATCTTACACATAGCTGGAGCTGGAGGAAGAGAGCAAAGTGAGAGCAAAGCGAGAGGTGCTACAAACTTTTAAACTGCCAGATTTCATGAGAGCTCACTCACTATCACCAGAACAGCAAGGGAGAATCTGCCCCCATGATCCAATCACCTCCCACCAGGCCCCTCCTTCAACACTGGGGATTACAACTGGACATGACATACAAGCAAGGACACAGAGCAAAACCATATCAAAGGGTAAAGCAACTTTCCAAGAGTCACAGGGTCTGTAAGTGATGAAACTAAGTTTGCAAACCAGGCAATCAAACTCCAGAATGAGGCTTCAACCAGGTAACTAGCTTTTGCTCAGCCAACCTTCTCTCTTCTCTCAGGATAACCTCTTTGCCACCATGCCTATCTAGGCTCCTGATATGCAGAAAATAGCAACACATGTTCACTGTACTTCACTCCCTGCTCTCCCTCTTCTCCCTCTCTCCCACATCATCCCCCCTTTGCCAACACTATTTCTATAGCCTAGAACATTCGTACTTTCCCGTGAGAACTGATGCATGTGTCACAGTGTGTATGAAGCTTTGCCTCATCCCTACAGGCAAAATTCATCACTCTTTCCCTGTGCTTCTTCCAGCACATTTTATTTTCACTGCTATCAAAGAACCTATTTCTTAGTATGATACTGAGCTATGTGTTTGTCTTCCCTGCTGGATCACTAGCTTCTGGACAGCAGGACTTGACTAGTTCATCTCTGTGTGCTGCATGTGTTAAGAGAGCACCTGCCACTGAGTAGAAGGTCAGTAAGTGGCTGTAACTGAGGTTGAATTCAGCACAAAACCTGCCAAGACATTAGTTTTTTGGACGAGTGGGATGAGAAGAAGCCTGACAGCTGGCAAGGACCTATGCCTGTGTCCAGGAAACAAAGGGACCACACATGGGAAACCTCCACCAGAGGGAAAAATTGCAAACATGGGGTGCACTATATACTAAGTAATCTCACAGACTCATAAAATCAAACATGCCAGGGGCAGAAGGATGCCAGATGCACGGGCCAGCTTATTCCTTAAGGAAAAGAGGATACTGCCAATGAGGAAGCTAAAGCCACAGAGGTTAATATTCTTCACAAGATTTGGTAGCTCATTAATGTGTATGTGGAGATTGGGTGGTTGAGGAGTCATTTTCTGCTTAAGAAACATGAACACATCCCCAAAATGTCCAAATTACAGAGACACACGTGTGAATTCCTCAGAGACATAAGAATATGTATCAGGGCCGGGCGCGGTGGCTCACGCCTGTAATCCCAGCACTTTGGGAGGCCAAGGCAGGCGGATCATGAGGTCAGGAGATCGAGATCATCCTGGCTAACACGGTGAAACTCTGTCTCTATTAAAAATACAAAAAAATTAGCTGGGCGTGGCGGCGGGCGCCCGTAGTCCCAGCTACTCGGGACGCTGAGGCAGGAGAATGGCGTGAACCGGAGAGGCGGAGCTTGCAGTGAGCCAAGATCGCGCCACAGCACTCCAGCCTGGGTGACAGAGCAAGATTCCGTCTCAAAAAAAAAGAAGAAGAATATGTATCAGAGCATATGAAACAGAATAAGTTGTATCCACAAATTTAAGAGTGCAAGAAACATTCATTTCTCCATAACCTGTGATTCAAATTAAATCTGTCTTCACACCAGGGTGGTGGAAACTTCCATCCCAAGATTTTAAGGTAAAGATGGCAGATTGAGCACATGCATCTAAAGCACCCTCTCTCGTAATCCCACTGAAACTACAGCAAGGAGATTTTGTTTAAAAAGAATAAACTCAAAAGGCAGGGAGACGAAGAGAGAAGACAACATCCCCCTGATATTGGAGGCTGGAAAGCAGATGGGTGAATGGTAACTGACTTGGCAGTTCTAAGCCAACAGTAGGGAGAGCCAAGAAACAATCCAAAGAAGAATGCAGAATCCTCAAAAGGCTTCAGAGTTGGCAGCACCAGGTGTCACCTCTGGAAGTGGGGTAGAATGGAGGAGGTAGCTAAGAAAAGGAGGATCATTTGAAAGCTGTGTAACTGTCAGATCTGGAGCTGACTGTGTGGTATTGTCAAGATGATACAATAAGGAGCCCAATTCCAGCTGGCCATTTACTGGCTAAGTAGTGTTGGGCAAGTTACTTTACCACTCTGTGCTTTAGTTCTTGTATCTGAGAAATGGGATTTTAACATTTCTCTCTTTGTAAGTTAAGATTTGTTAAGAATGTATACTCATGCCTGGTACCTAATAAATTCTTAAAAAAAAAAAAAAAATAGATCCCCACTCCCAATTACAAACCATTGGGAAATTGCTTCTTCCCTATCTCAGCTGGTCTGAAGAATTATTATCTGGGGAGAATAAAAAAGATTGTCTGTGAATAGGAAACACCATGCACACTTAAGGGCAGAGTAGCACAAGGGAAACAGATGTATTAAGGAAACTTGCATACTAAACATTCACCACCTTCTTTCTTCCTGGACTCCAGAACACTAGTGACCAGCCACACCTTCCCTGCAGAAGTTTAGAAGAGCCTTTTCTGGAGAACCCAACCAGCCCAAAGGAAGACACTGATGACACCAATCCCAGAGGTTCCCAGGTAAATATTTCAAGCTGATCCTTCTACAATGAAGCTCACAGTCCAGAAGTACATCAAATAATTCATAGCATGTGATTATCTCTTAAGTCACTTGACTCTTAAGCCTGAGCAAACAACCAAGGACTACCAGACGTGTGAAGACAGCCTCTAACATGGAATGCAGAGAACTAAGTGACAAGCAAACAGAAAGGAACCACTGGCAGAAAAGGAAAAGACATTGCATCCATCTTTGAAAAAAATAAGACAGGAGAAGAAGAAGGAAGAAGAAGAAGAAGAGGAAGAAGAAGAAGAATGAGGGAAGAAAAAGAAGAGGAAGAAGAAGAGGAGGAGGAGGAGGAGGGGGAGATTAGAAAACAAAAGACAACTCTTAGAAATGGGAAACATAATAGCAGAAACAAAGAAACTGGACTCATTTCCCATTTAGAAAAAAAAAAGTGCAGCTAGCTGCCAGTGCAGTTTTCTCAGGGCAAATGGGAAATGAGGTAATAGAAACTTTAGAAGATAACTTTTTTAAATCACAGAAATTAAAAAGAAAAGAGATGAAAAATATCATTTTAATTTAAAAAGATAAAATTACTAGGTCATGAGGTCTAACATCCAAACAATGTAATTTCCAGAAAGACAAATGACAGACAAATTACTAGCAAAATAATTCAGGCAAATTTTTAAGAACTAAAGGACAAGAATTTCAGATAGAAAGCATTTACCAAATGCCCAAGGAAATGGATAATGATAGAAACACCTCTATATTCAGCATAATAAAATTTTAGAGAAGTTCGAACAAATAGACAATTCTAAAACATTTCAGAAAGAAATAGCAGGTCACACACAAAGGGTTAGGAAGCAGATGAGTTTGGAATTTTTACAAGCGGTACAAGAAGCTAGAAGCAATAGGATGATACCTTCAGATCTTGAAAGAAATTTTTTTTCAACTTCTACCAGAGCTTATACTCAGAAAAACTATCAACCAAATATAAGGGTAGGATAAAAGTTGTTTTAAGATATGTAAGTTCTCAAATACCTTCCCTTCTTAGTAAACTACTGGAGGATGCACCCCCACCAGGGTGAGGTCAAGCTTGTAATTCATAAGATATCAGTAGAGTACACAGAAGAATTTTACCTCAGCGGTGGGAACAATTAGCCCTAGAATAAATTCCGATCTGTCTGGTCCTACCTAACAAAGATTGAAAGCAAGAACCAAAGGAATCAAACTACTTCCAAGTAATTTAACTACATCCCTGAAAAACCTTAGGACATTTATAGGGACACAAAAATACCTGGTTTCAACAGATAAAATCTATAATTCCCGACATCTAATCAAAAATTAGCAAGCATTTAAAGAAGTAGAAAAACATAACCCAAAATGAGCAGAAAACTCAACTGAAAAATGACAAAGATGATAGAATTAGCAGTCAATGACATTAAAATAGGTATTGTGATTGTATTTTAAATGTTCAGTAAGACAGAGGAAAGATTTGGTATATTAAGTAGAAATACAGATGTACAAAAAGCCAAATAAAACTTCTACAGATAAACACTAAAATGACTGAGTCGAAAAATCCGTTAAATGGGCTTAACAGCAGATTAAGCTCTAGGGGAAGAGGTGTGAGATGCAAAGCGTTAGTGATTTGAAGATGCACCAATAGACAATGTCCAAAATGAAACCCAAAGGGAAAAAATACGGAGAAAATGAATAGCATGTTAATGAGCTGTGTGACAATTTCAAGTAGAATAATACTCATGTAATTCGAGACTCCAAAGAAAAGGAGAAAGAACGGTAGATAAAAATATATATTGGAAGAACTAGTAATCAAAAAATTTCCAAATAGATAAAACTACCAATCTACAGATCCAAGAAGCTCAAAGAACTCCAAAGAGGCACAAGAAAACATGAAGAAAACTACACCATAGCACAGTACTATTAAAAACCAACAACAAAGACAAGAGCTTAAGAGAAATAAAGATGTACACATAAAGAGAAACAAAGATAAGGTGGCAGTGGATTTTTAAGTCAGAAACAATGGAACCCAGAAAACAATGGAGTAACAGCTTTATTTTATTTTATTATTATTATTATTTTTTTAGATGGAGTTTCGCTCTTGTTGCCCAGGCTGGAGCGCAATGGCATGATCTTGGCTCACTGCAACCTCCGCCTCTCAGGTTCAAGCAATTCTCCTGCCTCAGCCTCCTGAGTAGCTGGGATTACAGGCACACACCACCATACCCGGCTAATTTTTTGAGTTTTTAGTAGAGACGGTGTTTTGCCATGTTGGCCAGGCTGGTCTCAAACTCCTGACCTCAGGTGATCCACTCACCTCAGCCTCCCAAAGTGCTGGGATTACAGGCGTGAGCCACCGTGCCCAGCCAGCAACAGCTTTAATAGTACTGAAAGGTAAACAAAAACAAAAACAAGTCAACCTAGAATTCCATAATGAGTGAAAATGTCACTCAAAAATGAAGGCAAAATAAAAACATGCTAAACATACAAATGCTGAAAGAATCCATTATCAGCAGACCTGCACTATCATAAAAGTGAAAGAATATTTTTCACATAGAAGGAAAATTATTTCAGATAGAAATCTGGATGTACACAAAGAACCAAAGAGCCCTGAAAATAGCAATCATGTGGAGAAACATTAAAAAAAATTCTTATGATTTAAATCTATCTGAAAGATTACTGATTATTTAAAGTAAAAAATAGGCTGGGCACGATGTCTGACACCGGTAATCCCAGCAGATTTGGGAGGCCGAGGCAGGTGGTTCATCTGAGGTCAGGAGTTCGAGACCAGCCTGGCCAACACGGTGAAACTTCGTCTCTACTAAAAATACAAAAAGTTAGCTGGGCATGGTGGCACGCCCCTGTAGTCCCAGCTACTCAGGAGGCTGAGGCAAGAGAATTGCCTGAACCTGTGAGGCGGAGGTTGTAGTGAGCCAAGGTCATGGAACTGCACTCCAGCCTGGACGACAAGAGCGAGATTCTGTCTCAAAACAAAATAATAATAATAGTAACAATGTAGTAGGTGGTTTTAACATATGTAGAAGTAAAATGTTTGACAACAAAAGTGCAAAGGCTAGGAGGGAAAAAATGAAAGTATTAAAGTGTTGTAAGATTCTTATACTATCCATGAAGTGGTATAATATTCTACTTGAAGGTAGAATGTGATAGGTTATAGATGTATACTATAAATTAATTCTAAAGTAACCACCAAAATACTACAACAAACAGTTAAAGCTAATAAGATAACAAAGGAAATAAAAATGGAATCATAAAATATACTCAACCCAAAAGAAGGCAGAAAAATAAGGAGAACAAAGAACAGATGAGAAAAATACAAAACCCCGGGAACTACCAAACCCTTGTCATAGAGACTGTGGAGGGGGTGGAGTGACCACCTGGTAGCCAGTGATGAGAAAGTGTACAGCATAAAGAACCCCCATCACCACTCCTGCTCCCATTGGGTGCCACAGACCAGAGGCAGCTGTGATTGGAATATGCATGATGTACATGGACCCACATGCACAGGTCAAATGCAAGAATCAGCAGTGGGCTGTCAGTAGCCCAGATCCCTGAATTCATCCTGTATCTAACGTGAGTGAGAGTCACCCCAAATCAGCATTTTCATACCATTCTGGTGCCCCAGTGCCCATAAAACAAGCACCATGGTGGCCAGCTGGAGTGGTTCACTTTCCAGACCTCTCTCCTGGAACCTGGGTCTGGCTGCTGGGTTCAACATGAACCCATAGGTGCAAGGTTGAGGTGA
This sequence comes from Homo sapiens, assembly GCF_000001405.40. Taxonomy (NCBI): domain Eukaryota; kingdom Metazoa; phylum Chordata; class Mammalia; order Primates; family Hominidae; genus Homo; species Homo sapiens. The sequence goes on along the minus strand of NC_000010.11, from coordinate 84,707,551 downwards.
GATGGTCCTCAGGGCATCTGGCTGACCCCATAAACTTGATAGCTGGTCAGCAAGTACTCTCACAAAAGGAAACAGGACTGGGACCAACAGTCATCTCAGAGGTGTCCTCAGGGTACACCACCAAGATAGCTCTGCCAGCTCTGGCCCCGCCAGTCCCAGGTACTGCATGGGGACGTAGAAAATTTCAAGGTATGCATTTCCAACAACTGGGACCCATTTGGCAGCAGATCCAAACTCGGGGAACCCTGCCAGCCCTTGCTGGTCACAGCCACCAGAGTGGGACACAGACAATTTCAAGGAAGGCACTCCAAAGCTTGGGGCTCTGAAGTGTTGAAAGCAGGACAGTGGCCCATTTTCCAGGGAAACATGAAGAAGGAATCTCCCTCCCTGCCTGAGTGAAGTTGACATGAAGCAGAGCCTCCAGTCCACGTGCAATGAGGATGTAACGTGAGAGAGAAAGAAATGTTATTGTTTTAAGCCACTGAGATATGACGTTACTGTTACCACAGTAACTTAGCCCATCCTGACTAATGCTCAGGGCAGTCACCATGCCCCGCACAGAGCTGCCAGCACACAGAAGCACAGGGATTAAAAAGGAAGACACGCGGAGGGCTGGTAGCACCAGCGTGTCTTCTGTTGCTGTCGATTCTTAAATGTTTTTAACTGATAATGTTTGGCTGAGCCTAGCCCAGATTCTTATTCTTATTTTACTTTACAGAATCAAGAGATGATGAAGTTCTCTCATTAGGACTTTAATGTCACCCCCACTGAAGTGTTCTGCTTTGTCCTTACCCTGAAAGCCTGTCACTGGCCATGGTAAATTTAAAAGCAGAAAATTGAGAGCAGTCCAATCCTCCTAACCACATTCCTGAGAACACCCAGCACTTTGTCCACACTGCACCCTTGCTACATGCCCCTGCAGGCCCTGGAGCCTCCTGTGTGGCCTTTCCCACTGACTTCCCCAGAAGGTTCTGTTATAAAATCTCGAAGACATAGAAGCCAAAAGATGAACCAGAAATCCTACTCAACTGATCTCCTCCTGAAGGCCTTCATCTTTTGGGGATCCAAATACCTTTCCTCACCCAGCTTTCTATTCCCTATTGTTATTAATTGGTCTTCACATCCATTTAAATATAGTTTTGAAAAGGTAAGAAAATAATTGTCAACAAAAAATTCAATCTCATTTGTTACTGAAGCCTCCTTCCCTCCCAAGTTTATAATAAGTGGACACATAAATGATGTTTCTAAAACAGCAGGGAAGCCTCCAGCTCCCATCGTGGTTGCTACTGACATCTTCATGGTGTCATGCCAAAAAGTAGGCCCTTGGGATCCAGCAGTACTTCCTTCCATGGTGCATGACAGGTAAGGGAATTTCTACTAAGGCTGGGAATTGTATGTGACTTTTCCTGGTTGGTCATACAAAGCAATGATTTCCCCTAGGGTCTTGCTCCTTCTACAGAGCTACCACCAGGCTGGGAGCACTCCTACTCTCACTAACCCTGTCATTCCTGTCCTGACCGACTGATCTCTAATCTTATTTCTTGGACTACAGAAAACACTTCTTCCCTCCCCTTGTTACCCTGAAAGGCCTTTAATGACATTTCTTCAGGGCTTCAGGCTACAGAAAATTCAAAGCCAGAGAAGGCAATGTCTTCAAAGCCTCTTCTGCTTTGGGCCCTGGAACGAACTCTCTCTCCCACCCACCACATCCACCAATCAAGTCAGGGGACAGAATTGCCTGTCTACCTTCATACGTTGGTGTGCAAGGGTGGAGAAACATGGAAAATTCAGAAATGAATATCCCACTCAGGAGCAAATAATAATGATAATAACAATAATAATAATAATAATAATAATGTAAAAGTGCCTGAGATGAGTATACATAAAATATACACAACTTGGGTACTCACATAAACAAGCATGAGAGAGGAAAGAACAAATCATTTGTACCCGTAATTTCCAAGTGCAATCAAAATCAGGCAGAGTTCCTTGGACTACTCCTATGAATTTGCATAAATAATCTAAGCACTCAGCACATGTTCTGGGGGATTCAGAGCATTTAACAGGTAACTATTGTAAGTGGTTCTAGAAACCACTGTCCCTTTGTCTAATGCAGTTACTTCCCTGGATCGAATCCCATTTTGAGGCTGTGAAGTGCAGAGCCAACAATGTAAAGTGTGCCTGCAAAGTGATGTAAAATAAGATTTATTCAGGGTCTTCTGAGCCCAATTGTCTATAATGAAACTCTCACTTCTGCCTCTCCCTGGCCTCAGTTCCGACTCCAGAACATCACTGCACAGCCTGTGTGCTCTCTCTGCACTTAGGCTATCATTAGCTACAGCCGTTTTTGCCTCAAGTTCTGTACTTCTGGGCTTCCCGCATTTCCCAGTGAATGGCTCAAAGAAAGAACATTTTGCAAATTACTACTCTGTAGGTCAAAATTGTCAACTCCTCCTTAAAAACAACTGCAGCACCCCATTTTGAAAATGACTATTGTTATATAGCACTGTAAGGAAAAGACCAACATTATTGAATAGAGCCATCAAGAGCAATTTAGACCCATTTCATACCTGCCATATTTATCCTTGCTCCTTGGCAGAGCTGTGGTATGTGAGTATTTAACACCCTTCACAGAGCAGAAGAGCAGGCTGGCTATGCATTCTTAACGAGTCTGCCTCTAGAGTCCCAGGAATGAATGGAGAACCTCATTTCGAGTGAAAACACTGTCCTTGATACACACAGAAAATGAGCTGCCACAAAGCTAGGCAGAGCCCGATGTGTGTCTATGTAAAAGTGTATGCAAATAAACACAACTGACTCTGTGTATGGAAGTAGGAATGGCTGGGCAGGTGTGACTCCTGCATGCAAGTGAGCCTGAAGTTCAGCAAAATCAGAGGTTGTATGGGACTGCTGTCCAGATAGCACATTGGAAGTGTAGCACATTGCCTGGTCCACAGAACAAATTACTGCATAGAGTCAACCTACCCTTTGCTGTGTGCAGACAGACAAGTCATGGCAGAGAGGCCCCACGAAAGCCATTGCAGATTAAATTTATCCACATCTTTAGGAGATGAGAAGGTGAGAAAGCATGTCCAACAGCCAGGTCCCTGGGGAAGCATGTGAGGGAAACCCTGGTACTTCTCAAATTTTAGAGAAGAAAGCTCTATGCATTTGTGGTCACAGAAAGTCAGCTGGGGGCTGGTTTGTATCTGATGCCTCATTCCCGTGTCTAGCACTTGTGGCTGGGCTGTGGGGCATCTCAGTTCTCCTCCATGTGATCTCTCTGCATGGCTGCCTTGGCCTCATCACATTCTAGGCCACATTATCAGTTGAGCCTCTGCTTACTTCACATCGGTTGGTGTCCCAGTGGCCAAAGTAGTCATACACCTGGGAGGGTTCTATACAAGAACATGAATACGAGAAGGTAGGACTCACCAGAGACTGTGAATCCTAAAAGAATCAATCCCTCAAGATGGATTCTGAATGGCTAACGGGACCTAAATTCAAAATAGATCCAAGAAGTCATTTGCTTCCTAGAGGTCACACGTGTACTCTGCATTCAGGGTAAAACCCCAGGCTTGCTTAACTTTGGGGTATTCATAGCTATCTGTTCCTGTTTATGCCACCTGAATCAACCAAGATGGTGACCTGCCTTGACCAATCAGAAATCAGCAAGCCTCAATCAATCAGAACTCACCAAGTTTACATCCTTTATTTGCATAAGCAGACCAGAGTGGGAACCTGGGTTGGAACTTTCTCTCTAAAAGACAAAACCTGTCTTTGTTCGCTTGGAATGCGCCTTTGTTTTATACTGAAGTCTGCATCTTTCTAGTTTGCAAACAGTTCACTGGAATAGTCTTTTTCCTTTTTTAAAGAAAATTATTTTCAGTGAATCTGTTGACGAGGCCACTCATGTCACAACCTACACTGTATGGTGCTGTCTCCCATTGCCTGGGAAGCCCCTTTGGAGCAGGCCTGTGCCTATCTCCTCCTTACCACTCAACATTTTGCTTGTTGTCCAGCTCTCTGGGGACCAGCAGAAGCTGCTGCAAAAAGCTAGAGTTTTTCCAAGGGGCTGTACAGAAGAGGCTCTCTGTAATGATGCTTCCCTGAGTCTTCTGTCAAAGCATTTGGGTAATTATTAGCAAGGAGAGATATTTCCATGGCATTTGTCCAGGGTTGCCTCCAGCAGAAGCAAAAGTAGCCTGGAACAACTTGCTACAAAGGCTGTAGCTTCCTGTGCGTCTCAGTAATAAGAGCTTTCAGCCATTGAGCTTTCATGATAAACATTTCAGGTACCATGTTCAATGTTTTTATTTCACACAAAACCCTGGAAAGTAGCAGTCATTAAGCCCATTTTATAGATGGGTGAACTGAGGTTCAAAGCATAACAACTCACCCAGAACCACAAGGCTGATGATTTCAACGCATGTTTGTCTCACTCCAAAGCCTGCATTCTAGACTGCACCCTTCTTTGCTTTGAAAGGCTGCTCTGGATCAGAGTTTCTGTCTAAGCTCCAGGAATGCTTGATGTTCTCCTATCCCGTGGCCCAACCTGCATTTGCACAGGATTTATGTGCAGGGAAATGGAGCAGACAAAAGTTCTGGCTTGGAAGTAAGACTGCCAGGGTTTGAATCCTGCCTCTACCAGATCTCAGCTGGATGACCATGGGCAGCGTTCTCATCTGTAAAATGAGGATCATCAGAGCCGGAAGGCTGCAATAAGTTAGATGACAAAAAGTATTTAGAGAAGACCTTAGGACACTCAGGAGAACTCAATAAATTCTGTTATTACAATCATTATAGTCAGAGTTCCATCCTGTCACTTAAGGCAGGTGAATGGCATCATATCCCAAGACACAGTCAAGCTCAGCAAGGTCAGCAGCAAAAGAATTGGTGCAGAGCAAGTGTTTATGGGGATAATGTTGAAGATAGTTTCTGCCTGCAGCATGGGCAGTGCCCATTCTGAATGGACCTCAGTGCTCACAATCAGCATGTCAGGCTCCTGCTGGCCATTAAACATGAACCCTCAAGCTACAGACCTGACCTGGAGGACAGGCTGGAGGGCAGGGCTGGCCAGACGATTTGGGAAAGGGACTTCTCAAAGGCTTCTGAAGCTCAGAGCCAGCCCCAGTAAAGGAGAAAGAGTTTGGGACCAGAGCCCCAGGCCTGAGGGGCAGGTGTCCTGGGCAGGGACCCTTTTCAAAGAAAGGATGGGGTAGCCTCAGAAAAAGGTAAGATCCACTCACCTGAACTGAGTCCTGGATGAGTCTCAGACTGAGAACAAGGCTGGAACCACACCAAATGGGATCCAGAAATGAGCCCCGAGGGATGGTGTTCCTTTGTCCTACCTGGCTCTGGATTGCCTCCAGACAAAGGCAGAGCTTGGTGGCAGAGGCATGGAGAAGAGTGGGCTTCAGGGCTGTAAAAACTCCAAGAAATCAGGCCCATGACATGAAGATCTCCCCCTCTGAGAAGCCACCTTGGGGCAGCAGACCCTGTGCAGGTGGGGACCTCAGTGGTCCAGCTTAGCCAGGACAAGGTCTACCATGTCCTTTCCTTCCTCCTTCATGTAAATAAGCCCCAATCTCTCAGAGTAGAAGCCTTCTGTGAATAGTAAAAATAACAGGAGCTTCAACAGGACACCTTCAGAATTTCTCCTGAACACTCCCCTTTGCCCACTCTGACCCTTCCTTCTCCCTCCCTCTGCACTTTAACTCCCACCCATCATCTGGTCTTACTTAACTGATGACCTTTCTCAGAGTCTTCAGTCTTTCCCGTGAGGGCAGGCCTCTGGAGGGTGCCCTGTCCCCCAGCCCTGCCAATCTCTCCATTAAGCTCATAGGCCTGGAGACACTCTAATGCCTGAGTGGGCCCTTCCTTCCCAGGTCAACAGAGCTGCTCAGCTTCTTGCCAGGAAGGGTATCCCACTGTCCATTTGCAGTGAGGTTGAGTGGAAGCCTCCTACTCCAGCAGAATTGCCTCGGCAGTGCCTTGGTCCTTGCTTCCTGTCTTCTGCATCCTTCCCGCCAAGTCTTCAGACTGACAACTGTTAGTATTCGGGTAAGGAATAGAGTTTGTCAAAGAGAAGAAGACCTGGGGACAGGCCTTTGCATTTTCCTCTAGATGCATTTAGGAAAACCTCCCTTGCCTGAGCTCCTCCTGCTGCTGCAGATGCTGATGATAAACAACTGGCAGGGACTGGAGCCCTTGAAGATCATTCGGCCACCATCTCCAGGAGAAAATTCAGGGCAGCCTTGCCAGCAGGCTAGCCCTCAGCAAATGCAAAGGGGCCTACCTCACATCCTGTACTCATGGGGCTGGACTTGGAGTCATATGCATCTGGGCTCCAGGCCCAAGCAGTATAACCTTTAGCATGTTACTTAGCTCTGAACCTGTTCCTTTGTCAGCAAAATAGAGATAAAAATGCCACCCTCCAAGGATCTGAGGAAGATTAAATAAGAAAACCTAGATGAAGTGTCTGTCCTGCAGTTGGTACCCAATATAGTTTCACTCCCTCCCCCTCTGTTCTCCCTTCCCACCCCTATAGCAGTGGCAACAAATCCTTCCCTTTCTCTCCTGGAAAGTGCCATGGAGCCAGAATGTTAAACAGCGTCTCGGGCTTATGCTGGCCGGTATTCCACTGCCCAGACTATTCATCTGGCTCAGCAGAGGCTCCCCCACCCTTCCCACTCCCATTATTTAGCATAGTTTTCATCTCCCATCCAGGCCATTTCTATAGTGCCCTGTGAATGCATTTTACCTCCCTAACCCTTCCTAAGCCACAAACCAAAAAGAACTGTCTCTTTTTTCACTCTCCCTGACCACCTCTGAATGTAAAAGTCACTTAGCACCAGGAGAAATAATGAATTTTCTCCTATTCTGCTGAGGTTACCCACTATGGGCCATTAAAAAGATACTCATTTCTAAAATATACTTGACAGCCTGGAAGATATATTTGAGATATCAGAAAACTGAGCCCATTATGTGACATTTAGAATATATAGTGAGGCGATATATTTCTAAAATGTGCAATATACCTTATGAATTTATATTGCATACATGGCACTTAGATATTTGTATTATTTTCCCTCTGTGGATTCAAAGTTTCTAGACGATTTCCCTGTCTTAGCTTCTTGTTATTGAGCACCTTGCCAACATAGCAGAAAAATATTAAAAAGACATGAATACTGAGTTCAAGGTCAGTTAGTTCTTTATTTCACACCAAACAGCACCACAGGAACCCAGAAGCACAGAGAATAAGGGGAGGTGCTTCGGTTTCCCAGGCACGCTCACATGCACACCACCACTGACCATACATGTTAGGCGGATGCTAATTTCCCCATTTTAAAGATGAGATCACTGAGGCTGGAGCAGTGAAGTCCTTGCTTATGATCATGAAGCTAATGGGGGGCAGGGGCAGGATTATAGCCCAGGTCAGCCAGGTTCCCAGCCTGCACATCTGCCCACTGCACTTCCCTGCCTTTGTGGAAGAACCCAGGGTCTGAAGGCCATCGCCTTGTAGAAAATATGGTGATAGTGGAATAGAACTCGAGTCTGAGACACAAAGGCACACGAAGACCACTCATCAGGACTTATGGAGCGGGAAACTGCCTCCCAACAGAGGAGTTGGAAGGAAACTGATGGAGTGGCTAAACATGAGATGCAAACTCCTTCACGCAGCATGCAAAATTCTTCCCCATTTGGCCCCAACTTTCCTGTCTACCTCCTCTCTCTTTTGCATCCATTATACCCAGATGGGTCTTTCGGTCTCTCAGAAATGCTTTGTCAAGTCCTGTGGCTGAGTCTTCCTTGGTGTCACTTCTACCTCTGAAAGGCCTCTTCTACCTTCTCCCTATGTGGGTCCTGCCCATCATTCTCACTCCTGCTCTAAGTCTTTGCTAACCCTCCATCCACAGTTGCGATGTTTGTCCCACTAAGGTGGCACCTACACCCCATTCCTGCTGTCAGTACTTAACTTTCACACATCGATGGGTAATAACCCTGAGATCCCATTCACCCATCCAAGGACCACGGTTATAACGTGTTCTCGATAAACACATATCAGCTAAAATGAAAAAACTTCTGCAAACTGACAAGCTTGTCTTCACATTTTTGGTTTCTCTGTTCTCTCTGTTTTCCAGAATTGTTCTCCAGGGCTGCCCAGAGCAATGTAGATATTTTAGCAAGACCTTTCCTTCTCTAGGTGGTGTATTCAGCTCCAGCTTCTTCCTTGGTTGCAGCAAAGACATGCTCTTACTATCCCACAGGGACTAAAATCCAAGGCTAATGGAAATGGAAAGATGGAAGGTATAGCATGCTGTGGGAAAACCATCCTGACTGCCCCCACATGGTTCTGCTGTCCCCCAGCCCAGTGGAAGCTGCCTTGCCCTGCAGAAGAGGAACTCAGCCACCAGTTCCCATACTCCCCCAGCAGTTCACTCCATCTCTGCTTGCTGTGTACGAACCCTATTTCATTGGTCCAGCCTCTTCCTCCCTAAATAGGCCTGTGTTGTTGAGGGCTCAGGATGCTTCCAGGGTCCCCTGGCTACCTGAGTTGTGACAAATGAGCTGTTTCATGATGCAGTGAACTCTCCACCATTGTGGATCTGGAGAATATGTCATGGGACACAGACAGCATAGAAAAGTAGAGTTGTATCGAATTTACCTTCAAGCTCCCTAAGACTCTTGGCTAGAACAGAGATTCGACTCAGACATTTCTGATGAGTGGAATCATGTTTGATATCCTGAATTCTCCATGAGAATAGAAGCTCCACAATGGCAGGGTCTCTCGTCTTAGCCTGCTTAGAACACCAAGCAGCTTTAGACAAGAGGAAATCACCTCCCTCCTGCCTCTTCTGCATCCTACACAACATTTGGGCTTTTGCTATTGTCCCTTTGTCTCTCCCTGAGCCTCACCGTGTGACTGAGTCAACACACACACATCTTCATTCTCATTCCTCTATTGGTGATCTTCTCTGGCTAAACCATGCTCTCTGCTCCTAGAAGCAACACTGCTGAATTCACAACAGGGCCTTGGTCCAAGACATCCTTCTGATTCCCTTACTTTCCCCAGCTTCAGACATTCACTGCCCTTTTCTCCTAGAGCAGTGAGCCCTCAGTAGCTCAAGGCCGTATTCTTTCAGACTCAGTTCTCTCCAAAGGTAGGCACAAGTCCATGCCTTCCAAATTCAAGTATTAGATAAGCTAACTTGCTCAAAAATCCAGTCTGTTCCTTTCTCTGTATCTCTCTGTCTCTCTCTCTCTCTCACCCAGTATTTTTCTTGTCAGCCTCACTTTTTACTAGAACAGCCTATTTTTTGTTTTTTTGAGACAGAGTCTCGCTCTGTTGCTCAGGCTGGAATGCAGTGGTGTGATCTCGGCTCACTGCAACCTCCGCCTCCTGGGTTCAAGTCATTCTCCTGCCTCAGCCTCCCGAATAGCTGGGATTATAGGCACCTGCCACCATGCCCAGCTAATTTTTGTATTTTTAGTAGTGATGTGGTTTCATCATTGTTGGTCAGGCTCCTCTTGAACTCCTGACCTCGTGATCCACCCACCTTGGCCTCCCAGTGTGCTAGGATTACAGGCGTGAGCCACCGTGCCCAGCAGAGAATAGCCTGTTTCTAAAGGCTAGCTCATTAGCTCCAGCTCCCTGTCTCTGGGGTCCATGCCTGTCATGGCCAAAGCCACAGCAGAGGAATGCTCGGGCCACTGCCATTCCCAGAAGGGCCCTGCTCACCCCAGGGTTCACCTCTCTAAGAATGTTCCTGGGCTTCAGTCTAGTTCTTCCAGACCCTGACCTGGCCTACTTTCTACTTGGTTTTCTGTAATGATAGAGATAGCAGCAGTTTAGACATTGGGCACTAGAGAGAACCTCAGATTCTCAATTCAGATGGACCAAGATAGCACCACATAGACACTCCGCTCTCAGTCACAAGCTGATACAACTGTCATTTCTGGTGGTTTTGAAAAATTCCAAATTTCCCAAATATAACATTGAGCCCAGATCCAAAGCTGGACACTTCCTAAAGATCTCAAACCCAATAGCATAGATCAGTCAATCTTAACACTATAAAGTGTATAGGAACTGAGGATTAGATTGCAAGAGACTTGCCACAGGTGACAAACCACTTACTACTGACTGACTGTGCGCCAGGCACTGTTCTAGAAGCTGGGGATACAGCCGTGAACAAGATATACACAACATACAAAAAGTCCATAATGTAAAACATTATGTAATGTTAATGTAAAACAAAAACATACACCACATACAAACATTCATAATGTAGAAACATTATACGTATAGAAACATTATTTCTGTGTTTCCACATGTAATAGGTATATATTATATTATATTATATTATATTATATTATATTATATTATATTATATTATATTATATTATATTATACATATAATGCTTCTATTAACAACACACTGTCCAAAAACATATTGAAAATCTTTTGGGTACTTTTGGCTGCCCAAGCTGAACCCAGAGAAAAAAAAGGAGGATAACGGGTGTAAAGTTCTGCTCACCCCCAGAAGGGTACCAGCCAAGAGAGAAAAGGGCACGTCTGAGGCCATAGGTAGCTGCAGACAAGGCAGGAGGCAGAGCAGCACTGAGCCCCTCAGCTATGAGAGCTGTAGGGATGGACAATGACTCTTAACTCACATAGAGGACTTTGCCTGGCACCCATCTCAACACTTGAAAAGGCCTCAAGTCTCAAAGGATTTTCTGCTAGTTTGTCCTTTAAGTACACTCTGCTACTGTTGCTGTTTACAAAGGGTAGAAAGTAAAGCTAAATGCCCAGAACTGGTACTCAAAAAGCTTTTAGGCCTTCTCCACTACACAATTGGCAGGGCTTCGGGAAAATGCAAGCTTAGTTTTCAGCAAAGCCACTCATCTGAAGCTTCGGGAAGAAGAACTGTGCTGACCTAGGGAGTTTCATTACACAATCAAAGAGGAGAGGAAGGACACATGGACAAGGTGGGCTTTGAGGCAGCTCCCAGGCTGCAGACAGATGGGTAGATTTGTCCTAATGGGACTCTCTCCCGCAGAGTTCACACTCTCAGATCTGAGCCCCGGGGATGGCAGAGGGGCAGTGGCCCCATCCTCCTTCCATCCTGTGGCGTTCTAGCCCCAAACTCCAAATGCAACATCCCGAGGCATTATTTCCTTCCTTTGACATAGAGTTGGAGTCACAGTTCATCCCAGGAATGGGGGTATTTGCAGGGAGGACCCTGTATCAGCTCCAGTAAAAGAAGCCGTGGCTGGTGTCAGCAGGGTCTTATAAATAGCCAGAAATGTGTCAGCGAGGAGAAATATGAGACACAACTGCAAGAACAGAAGCAAGACAATGCACAAAAGTGACATGTGGAACAATAATCCATGAAGCACAAAGCTGTGAAGCCATCAGGAGCTGCTGAAGAATCTGTCAACAAAAGGAAAAGACTCAGAGCTGTCCTCCCAGGGGCACACAGCTGACGAGCACATTACTGTCCATGACATCATGTTCCCTCTGCAGAACTAGGGTGAGCAGGCCTCCTATCCCTGGGATTCATAAATGGTTTCCAGGAATGATTTCAACAGAGCATTGGGAAGATCTAATTAGTGTACCAACATTGCATGTTATTGATTTTAAGAACCTAAGCACACATTTTTATGTTGATCTCTCTTAAGCATCATTTTTTAAAATTATGCTCAAGACCTCAAATCATATCTAACCATGACTCTTACCCATATGTGTATAAAACCATCCTGCTGGATTTTTGTTGGCTGTTTACAGGGAGTAGTCTGGAAAATCTCTACAAGAGGCAGCATTCAATTTGCAAAGATTCAGTATCACCTGCCCCTTCTAGTCTTCTAATTTCTATGGATACAGAAAAGGAACCTGAGATGTTTCTTGAGTGATTCAAAATCCTGATTAAGTCCCAGAGGCCATAAGCAGTGCTGCTAAGTTATATCTCTGCCCTTCATCCACAGTGAGCCCTGAAAGAGAAATAAGGCTGGGGAGCCTCAATGGCCAGCTTTGGTTTTCTAGAGACCTAAATTAAAATACTGAAATGAGGGGCACCTAATGCTTTGGGAGGAGAATGTTTCTCAGAAACTCATCAAGCAGATCAAGGGGCACTAAGCAAAATTTGAGGAGGGTGAAGAAAAATACAATCTAGTAAAACCAAATCTAATACTCTGGAAGGACAAAAACTTTGCCAGAGGAAGAAAAGTCCACTTGTATCTCAATCAAATTAATAATGTTGAATTGCTTCAGTTGGGTGAATACCTACACGGTCATTCATTGTATGATTTTATAATTTGCAAATACCCAAAATATTTCAAAGTAAAACTTTAAAAGAAAAAGAAAACTCTTTAAAAGAAAGAAAAATTGAGGAAAAGAAACAAAGAAGGGGGACAATGACTCAAGGTTTTGAGGAAAATATCACTGGTTAGAAGTTTTGAACCTCCCATAGCAGTGTACTCACACCCAAAATGGAGTTCAAACCTCACAGATGAGGCAAGAATTCGCATTAAACCTAAACCATGCACCTCTTATGTTTTTCCTAATCACTAGTTAATTCAAATACCACAAAATTTACCTATTTAAAGTGTAGAATTTAGTAAAGTTGCAGGATATAAAATCATACAATATCAGTAGCATTTCTACACACTAACAACAAACTATCTGAAAAAGACATCAAGGAAACAATCCCATTTACAATGACTACAAAAAAAAATTCTTAGGAATAAATTTAACCAAGGAGATGAAAAACCTTTACACTAAAAACTGTAAAACATTAATGAAAGAAATTGAAAAAGACAAAATAAAAGATATCCTGCGTTCATGGGTTAGAAGAATTAATATTGTTAAAATGTCCATTTTACCCAAAGAGATTTGCAGATTCGATGCATCCCTATCAAAATTTCAATGACATTGTTCAATTAAATAGAAAAACAATAATAAAATTTGTATGGAAGCACAAAAGACCACAGAAAAAAAGGGCAGCTAGAATTTTTATATCATGTTGAATCTATAGTTTATTTGAGAGTGTTGCCATCTTAATTAATATTAAGCCTTCTGATCCATTAACATGAAATGTTATTTTGGCCTTCTTTAATTTCTTCCAAGAATGTTTTGTAGTTCTCAGTGTATAAGTCTTGTAGTTCATTTTATTAAATTTATTCCTAAGCATTCTGTGTATATAGAATATGCTGTTATATTATTTTTCTTACTGTAAATAGAATTATATTTATTCCATTTTCAGATTGTGTATTGCTATCGTATAAATATTGTATTGGGCTTTGTATACTGATCATAAACCTACAACCTAGCTAAATTTGTCTTTGGCTTGTGATCATTTATGATATGTCTAGGCTTTTAATTTTTTCATCTTTAATCTGGAGTTTGTTGAGCTTCCTGGATGTGTAGATTAATGTTTTTCATCACATTTGGGGAGTTTGGGGCTATTATCCAAATGTGCTTTCTCCCCCCTTTCTCTCTCCTCTCCTTCTGAGACTCCTGTTACATATTGTTTTGCTTCATGGTGTCATATGGGTCTCCATTGATCTATTCATTTTCATTATTTTATCTTTCTTTTTCTCAAACTGTATAATCCCAATTGGCCTATTTTCACATTTGCTGATTTTTTATTCTGTTAGTTCATATCTGACGTTGAGCTCCTCTAGTAAATGTTTTATTTCATTATTGAACTTTCCAACTCCAGAATTTCTATTTGCTTCTTTATAATCTTTGTCTCTTTATTGATATTCTCTATTTCGTGAGACACAGTGCTTGTGATTGTCTTTAATTCTTTAGACATGGTTTTCTTTACTTCTTTGAACATACTTATGAGAGCTGATATAAAGTGCTTGCCTAGGAAGCCCAACATCTGAGTACCCTCAGAGACAGTTTCTATTGATAGCTGTTTTTCTTATGTATGGACTACAATTTCCTGTTTATTTACCTGTCTCATAAGTAATTTTTAGTTGAAATGTAGACAATAGAACATGGCAACTCTGAAAATGAGATCCAACCCACTCTCCCAAGCTTTACTATTGTTGCTGTATTTTGTTGTTATTATTGTCATGGCTGTCTGTCTGTTTGTTTAGTGACTTTCCTGGACTAATTCTTTAAAGACAGTATTTCCTGTACTGTGTAGTCACTGAATTCTGTTTGTCTAACTTGGTGGTCAGATAATGATAGAACACAAATTTTTTTAAATGACTCCAGGCAATAAGTCTTCTACCTTTGCAGAGGAGCTCTGTGTGTATGTTGAGTCATGCCTTCAGCACTAGAGTGGTTTAAAACTCTGCCTTAGCCTTCACTTCCTACTTGTGCAAACCCTTTAGGTCTGCCAGAGTTGAGACATGAGGACTACCTCTGGTATTTTCTGGGCATGTGCACAGCCTTGCCCATGACCATGGCCTTCTAGATCTGTAGAAACACATCAAAGCTTTTTAAATCCTCTATAGCCATTTCATTTCCCAAATTTTTCTAAATTTTGTGGTCAGCTTCTTATTTGCCCCAACTTGTATCTCTACTTCAGGCAGCTCCGATATTTAAAAACCAGTACTGATTATTTTTTGAAAAATGCCCTGGAGATACAGTTTTTCCTCTTGAGTAAGCTCTAAATTGGGGAAAATAATAACAATTTGCAAATTGGTCATTTTCAGGAAATTGGCAGACATATCAAATAATAACAATTCTCTAGGGATAGGGCTTTTGGGGGAGGTCCAAATTAGTCTGCCCCATCCAGTGGTTGTTAGTGCTAGTTTTCACACTCACTGTGGTTACAAAGACTCTTATGTTCATGCTTCTGTGGAAAGAAGTTTCGGAATAGAGAAAGTTCAAATGTCACAGAGCTCACTGTTCTTCCAGACAGTCATTTTTCTTGAATATACATTCTTTAGAACCTTGCTAGCTTTTAGTTAATTTTCAGAGTTCTGAAAAAGTCAATGTTGACAGTTTTTGTCAGTGATTTTACTGCTTTATGCAGGAGCGGACTTATGAAAGTCCTCATTTCACCATTCTAGAAGTTTTGGCATCTCTTCTTTAGGGCACTTATCATGGTTGAACTTTACATCTGTGTCTTTGCTTTATAAATATGTGGCTCCCCTGTAGAACATTCTCTTGAGGATAATGTCTACATTTTGGATACCTTTTATTTCTCTGAGATTCTATCACAATGACACATAATAGGCACTCAAAAAATATGTGTCAAATGAATAAACATTCATTAGCTCAGGCTACTGAATAGATACAATTTCTACAAATGGGGGTTACAGTAAATAATTGTTCACTAACCTTAAGGGGGCCTTCAATCCTGTTGAGCTTGTCTTTTTTATCTCTCAGGAAATGCCCATTCTCGCTGTTCTGAAAACTTTGACTTCCCTTTCTCCTGCTCTGCTCATGATCTTGACTTATTCTTCAAAGAAAGTATCAGACCAAACTCCCTCCACGTTCTACCTCCACATTTACTAATATCTCCATGTTGGTTCCCATTTTACCCTCCTTTTCTCTTGTTACAATGGAAGGAGAGTTCTCTTCCTGGCAATGTTCATCCTCATGTGTCTGTTGCACACCATCATCCCTGCCTCTTCAAGAGCCTCACTCCAATTATCCTCCCCACCTACGCACCTGCATCTCTACCCGTTTCAGCTCTATTTAATTGTTTCCAGTTGCATTAGGTGATATTTTGTTCCTAAATTTTAAAAAGTACATCCAGCTTTAATCTCACATTCCACATCCAGTTAATACTTTATTTCTCTGTTTTCAAGTCAAACTTGTTAAAAGATTTGGCTATAAATTCTGGTTCCATTTCCTTATCTTCTACCTAGTAACCAATTCCTACCTGTGTTCTGTGTCCATTAAGCCACTGGAATGGCTGTGATTTTTTTTTTTTTTTTTTACTCTTTCAACAAGTAATTATTGAGCACTCAACATTAGGGCCAGGAACTGTTCTAGGAATAAGATATATAAAAATAAATAAGCTAAACAAAGGCTTTGAACACTTTATAGATTTCATCATAATTGTTATCAGCATTAAGTTGGCCACGAACTCTTCATAGAAATGCCTTCTTTCCTTGGCTTCCAGGGCACCTTACTCCCATCTCTCCAGCCAATCTTTTTCAGTCCCTTTTGCCAGATCCTTCTCGAAGTTCCCATCTTTATTACTGAGATTGTTTTTTCAAAATTATTAAGTTGAAATTCACATGACATAAGATTAAACATTTAAATCCAATCTTTAAATGTTAAATTTCCTCTGAAATTTCCCTGGTCTTTTTTCTTCTTTCTCTCTACTCCCTCTACAGAGGACTTCATATACTCCCTTGGCTTTCAACACCTTCCATTTGTATATCCCTGTTTATAACTGCAAACTGAAACTCTCTTTTGAGATCCAGATACCAACAAACAGCCATCTCCACTTGGCTATTTCACAGGAACCTCAGATAAAATACTTTCCCCTAAAGCCTGCTCTTCCATCAGTGTTCCTGTGGTACCACATCCACCCAACTGTTCCAGCAGAAGATATTCTTGAGACTTTCCTCATCTTCACAATTCATGTCAACTTTACAAACCACCTGACTCTCTGACTTATCCATGTCTTTCCATTTCCACCAATCATACTGTCGACTTTCATCCTGCAGATGTTCTTAGTGGTTCTTCCCACATCCAGTGTCCTCACTCCTACCAAATCCAACTCTCTACATAGCAAAGTGAATTTTACCCTCCCTGACCAAATCAGGCCTCCAAGTATAAGCTTTTGTAGCTTCCTTAAATTCTTGATTCATTTTTACTACTGAAAGTAATTGTTTAATTATTAGTTTGAATTCTCTCTTCTCCAGTAGAATGTTAGTTTCATGAGAGCAGAAAGTGCATCCGTGTTGTTCTCAGTTGTTTGCTCAAGGTCTAGATAAAATTTTCAAAATAGAGTAAGTGCTTAATAAACATCTACTAAAAGTTGTTGAATAAATGCATTTTCTTCCTAAATTTGTTTCACAATTTAGCAATCAGCAACAATCACAAGTAACCAATGATAGCAGCAAGAGCCGTGAAAGTTATCCTTGATACAATGTTCTCCTTCATCTCTTACCTTCAAGGCATCAAGCCTTCCATATTTTACCTGAAAATATACATACCTAAACTTTAACTACAGCTAACCATGTCTACACTCATCACTAGACTCTTACTTGGATTCCTGAAATAGCTACTTAGCCCACTTGCATTCTTGTCACCTTCCACACACCCTCTATTCTAAAGCCAAATGTGTTATCGCCCCCTTCAACCCATCAGTAGTGCCCCATTGCTCCCAGAAGACAGTCTGCAGTCCTCAGAAAGCCCAGCAGGCTCAGCTTCTCCAGCTTCATTTATGTGTTCTCTGTTCTCTCTGCTTTCTCTGAATACTTTGGATGCAGTCCTGTGTCGGGATTTTCTGGGGTGAAGATCTAGTGATTCTACTTCAAGTGCTCTTCTCCTGACACCTTTGCCTGACCATTTCCTGCTCACCCTTCATGCCACAGCCCAAACGTCACACCGACAGGAGGTCTTCCTCATCACCTCAGGCCAGGTCCACAGGACTGTCAGAGATGAGTAACAGCTTGTGCTTTTACCTTACTGTATTTACCACAACTATCCTTAGTGGTTATTTCTGTGTTTGCTTAACATCTTTCTCTCATTCTGAGATGGAATCTCATGTCTGTTGAGGCACTATAGTTTAGTGGTTAGGAACACAGGCTCAAAAGTCAGACCTCAGAGTTTGAACACCAGCCCTATTGCTTACTGGTGATATGATCTTTACTAACTTACTCAAATTCTCTCTGTCTCGATTTTCTTACATGCAAAATGGCTAAAAATGTAATGGTGCTTTGCTCAAAGTGTCATATGTGGATTCAAGAAGCTAATTCATCTAAAACGATTAGGAAATACAGAAGATATAACTCTAATATATAGGATTCACTCATTAAATAGAGTGAATGGTATAAAAAAGACTCAGTCATCAAGTCTTGGAAGAATGGTCCCCATGAGAGAGGACAGCAGCAAAAATGATTAGAAGTATTTTAATATTGTGTGCATAAAATCCATTAAAAGATAAACATAAGGGATCTATATGAAGAAAACTATAAAATTTAATGAGGAACATAAAATAAAGGGAAACATGAATAAATAGGAAGACATGCCATATTGTATGATTCAATGTTGTGTAGATATCAATTAAGAGAGAATATGTACATATATATGAAACTACATGAATTGGGTGGCTAGTGACCACAATAAACACAGATCACTTCTATGGGAGATGATCACAGAAGTCTTCAAAAAAGCAGTAACCTTTGAAAAGTGCTAGGAATTTCCATAGACAGAAATGGGACAGAACAGCACCTTGGAATAAAAGAGAGTGGGTACAGAAATACAGCAGCGACCAGATTTTTTAATTGGAAGGTTCTTTAAATGTTATAAATGCCGCCAGCATGTTTTTAGCTTTGAGGAATAGAAAAACCAAATACAAATGCTTTAAAAACAAAGGACATTAGGCCAGGCACGGTGGCTCACACCTGTAATCCCAGCACTTTTGGGAGGCCGAGGCGGGCGGATCACAAGGTCAGGAGCTTGAGACCATCTTGACCAACATGGTGAAACCCTGTCTCTACTAAAAATACCAAAAAAAAAAAAAAACCACAAAAGATATTTAATCTCTCACTTAACAGGAAATTCCAAAGAAGGTTCCAGCGCCTGAACACTGTTAAGGCTGTGAAAGGCTTTCCTACTGCTTCCTCACATCAGGCCACGTTGGTCTGAGCAAAGGATGGGAAATGGGAAAATGTAGGAGGGTGAGATAAAAGGATGGGCTATCTGATGTGTGCCATCAGATACTCAAATGGTGTGGACATTTAAGAATTGCAGCTTGGTGGAGTGCAGGGTCCTTTGTCTCTGTCACAGCCATAACCAGTATCCATTTTACGTTTAAATAAATAAATAAAATACATTTTAAATAAATCAGTCTAGAT